>NC_000012.12:27390040-27542735 GCF_000001405.40 Homo sapiens
AATTATTTGACAATATTCTTTTCCACCTATTCTCTCGCCCCCTTCTGCACGAAAGCTGGTTTGCAAGTTCACAGTAATCTCCACGCTGGAAGGACACGTGTGTATTCTGGCTCAAGACGATCTTTTTTCTGTCGGATAAAGAGTTGTAAAATCTCTGTCAAAGAAGAGCATGGATGCTTACCCAACTCAAAGAAGAAAGGTATCATTTTGAAATGTCAAGTGATGCAAAGCATGGCTATAAAATTAATGTCCTAAATATTTTCTGTACAGAAAAAATAAAATATATGGTCAAGGGAAATATTTGAATTCAAAAGCATCTTAAAAATAAGATTTTTTTAAACCAAAATTACTTACATTTGTTCATCACATCTTTCGAATTTATCAGGTAATTACATATTATCTTTGTTGCCCAAGATTTTAATGGTGTTATTGAAATTGTAGTTTGGGGCCTATCAAGTGGGAAAAAAATGACAAGAGATGGAAATAAAACTTTTGCTGTGAAACTTCATTATTACATTTTAAAATATAAAGGTTAGATGTTAAAAAAACTTCAATAGTACAAGAGCCTGATTTGACTAATTTTGGTGAAAGTTTCTTAAGATGTTCCAGGTGTGATTTTAATTTTTTATGAGATGGTGATTCTTCGGTAAATATCTCATTTGTTTTCTTATGATCCTTTGCTAGATTTTTCTTGCAGATATTTACTTTTTGAATTGATTAAATAGTCATCTATTTAACTTAATTGGGAAATTTCAGGGACTACAAAATGTCTCATGACTTTTTTGCCTAAGAGCATATTAAGCTATGAGATATAGGATTCCATAGGCAAATTTTAACATGGGATTTGCCTTCCTATCCTTTAAAAGGATATTTATATGGAGCCACAAAAATTCAATTAAGTTTTGGTCGGAATCTTTTTTGACAAACACCTGAAACGGTAATTGCTAATACTCATTTATTTAACGCTAACCCTGTGCCAGATACTGTGCTAAGTGTTTTAATCCTCATGAAAACACTATTCTTTTTTTAAAAATTTTCAACATTTATTTTAGATACAGGGACTACATGTGCAGGTTTGTTTCATGGGTATATTGCACTAAGGTAGTGAGCATAGTACCCAGTAGATAGTTTTTCAACCCACACGCCCTTCCCTCCCTTCCCCCTCTAATAGTCCACAGTGTCTGTTGTTCCCGTGTTTATGTCCTTATGTGCTCCATGTTTAGCTCCTACTTATAAGTGGGAACATGTGGTATTTGGTTTTCTGTTCTTGCATCAATTCACTTAGGATTATAGCCTCCAGCTCTATCCACAGTGCTGCAAAGGACATGATTTCATTCTTTTTTATGGCTGTGTAGTATTCCATGATTCATACGTAGCCCACTTTTCTTTAATCCACCAGGGATGGGCACCTAGGCAGATTTCATGTATTTGCTATTGTGAACAGTGCTGCAATGAACATACAAGTGCATATGTCTTTTTGGTAGAATGATCTATTTTCCTTTGGGTGTATACCCAGTAATGGGACTCCTGGGTCCAATGGTAGCTCTATTTTAAGTTCTTTGAGAAAACCCTAAACTGCTTTCCATAGTGGCTGAACTAATTTACATTCCCAACAGTGTATAAGCAGAAAATACTTTTCTTATCTCTATTTTAGAATCAAGTGACTTGGAGAGATTCAGTAACTTGCAGAGAGTCAAATAGGCAAAATTCACAATCAATCATAAACCCCCTACTCTGTGTTATACTGTAAAGAAACAAAAATGGAAATGAACCAGCAGTCCTCAGGGGGATCTGTTTGAGGGCCATCTGTTGCTTCCCTCTTGCCCAAGGCTCTGAGTGGTGGAGAGCTGTCTAACGTCACATATGAAGCTTCCTGGGCTTGAAGTCACAGCCGAAATAGAGGTGAAGAGGCTGTGGAATCCAACCAGTGGGGATCAGATTTTAGCTCTACGACTTGCTAGCTGTGTGATCGTAAGCAAGTTTCTTAATCCCTCTGAGCTTCAGTTTCCATATCTTTAACACAGGAATATTCACAGGACTCTGTGGTTTAGCACAGCAGATAAATGAGTAGGTTCTAGAGCCAAAGGGTTTAGATTTGAATCCTAACTCAACTATGTGACTTAAGATAAATTACTAAATCCTTCTGGCCCTTACTTCCCTCAGTTGTAAAATGGGAATAATAGGACCCCAATAATAGGGTTGTTACCAGGATTAAATGAGTTAATACACATCACGTGCTTAGCCTGGTTCCCAGCATAGTGACACCGATGTTAGGAGCTCTTACAAACACTATTGGAAATAGTCCACCTAAACTCTTAGGACAGTGCAGAGCCGATGGCAGGTGCCATTATTGTCACTGCCCCAGAGTGCCTGTTCTCTCTGCCTTCCTTCCCACATCAGTCATCTTAGTCATACCATAGCGACCAGCTAGGAAGGACATGGCCGTATGATGTGAAAATAGTCTCCAAGGGCAGGAATATTCCTTCTGTGTGGGTGATCCAAGGAGTCAGAATGTGGTATGTTTTACTGTTAGGCTTTAACCAGAGGTGAACCAACACTGTGTTGGTTCACCTCTAATTAATCCATCCATAAGGATCCAATCATTTGTAAATCACCGAATCTACACAGAAATCCGTAAGAGGAAAACATGACAGCCAATAAAACAGCCTTAAGGTGGCTGAAATCTGTAATGTTTGATGCAAGTTATAAATTGAGTAGAGGCTAGAATGGTCAAATTTTGTATGTGTTTTAAAGATGACCAGATTGAATTGTCTTTCCTCCTGGGAGATTTCCCACATGGACTGACTTAGTATTTTAGTCATGTTTGTGTTGGTGTCTGGCTGGTGCCCATTATAACCTTCCATTTTTGTGAAACCTGATTTCGCCCTCTGCCCCCTACCCCATCATCTTGCTCTTTACTGGTAAAGCTTGCAACTCTACAGGCTTCATTTTCAGCCTCTGTATTCTCTCCCCTCCACCCTAATCTAATCCTCCCTGCCACTTCTCCCAGTTTCATTCTCTCTTCTGACATAAGTAAACTTACCCAGCCTTCTCCATCTCAAACCCATATCTACATTCAAACTAATTTATATTCTTGAACTTGAAAATAAATACTTATCTAGGCTGAGCTTCTACTCAGAAACCTCTTGGCAAAACCCCATTCTCTTGTGGCCTGATCTTCCAACCAAATCCACTATCACCATTTGAACTCCTCCCTGATATTCAGGAGAATTTAGGGGCACTGAATAAATACATTTTAAATTATACCTTTAGACACATGGTTCTCAAACTTTAGCCTGCATTGGAATCACCTGGAAGGATTTTTAAAACACAGATTGAATCAGTTTGAGGTGGGGTCCAAGAATGTGCATTTCTAGCAAGCTCCCAGGTGTGGCTGATGCTGTTAATCCAGAGAGCCTACTTTGACAGTCACTGCTTTAGACTCTTTTCTCAAGATTCTCTGAGAGTGTGAGAAATGGTAAGTAGGGATGCCCTGGACAGCAGTGCTCAAGCCTAGGACTAAAGATTCCTCCCTGAGCTGTATTTTCTCCTAGCTTCTTTCACAGTCTTATTTCTGAAAAGATCCCTGCACATTGGCTGTGCTGAGGGGAAAATGATTGGGATAAACCTGAGATCGTTGTCTGACAACAATAGATGTTGGTGAATGAACAGTTTATTGAGTGTGTACTATGTGCCAGGTACTATGCCAAATGCAAAGGACACACTGGGGAGCAGGTAGACAAGTACTGCTGTAGTGGACCTTATGTGAGATGGCCCTAATATGCTAGAGGCAGCCAAGAAACATGTAAACTAATAAGTGGGTGGTGGAAAGTGTGATGTGAATGACATCTTTGCTGAATTAATAATAGTTTTTGAATACTGAAAGATTACTCAGTTTTTTGGTGCTATTCACTTTGTAACAATTACAGACATAACACACTTGTGCAGTGGTGCAGTCATAGCTCACTGCAGCCTCAAACTCCTGGGCTCAGATGATCTTCCCGCCTCAGCCTCCCAAGTAGCTGAGACTACAGATATGTATCACTGCATCCCTCTAAGTTTAAAATTTTTTGTAGAGATGGGGTCTGACTATATTGCTCTGGCTGGTCTCAAACTCCTGGCCTTAAGCAGTCCTCCCAGTTCAGCCTCCCAAAAGGCTAGGATTTCAGGTGTGAGCCACCATGCCTGACTACAACACACAAGTCTGTCTGCAGACCCTGGACATTGAAACCCAGGCATCCCCTCTTTCCAGGAAACCATCCCTGATACCCTCCCAACTCTGGTGGCTTGAGTCCCAGGTACCCACATGAGTAATCCTGAGCTTCTCTCAGATTTGCTGCCCTTCCACACTGTATTGAAATTACTTAACTTTTTAATACTTGCCTCCCACACGAGAATGAGAGCTGCATTTCTGTCTGTTGTTTCTGGCCCATAGTAGACATTCAATAAACATTTCCTGAAGGCATAAGTGACAATCCTCTTGTCCTTTGTTCCTGGGTGACTGCCCATATAACCACTCTCAAATCCACAGGAACGATTATGAATTAAATGAATGAATATACATTATAATCTTTCTCTTTTACCTAAGGAAGCAATTTCAACATTTTTTTTAGATTTTATCTCAATAAGTTTTTAGCAAATGCTGTGGACTGAATTGTCCCCCCAGAATTCGTATGTTGATGCCTTAATTCCCGACATGATGGTATTTGGAGATTGGGCCTTTGGGAGATAATTAGGTTTGGATGAGGTCATGAGGATGAGGACCTCATCATGGGATTAGTGTTCTTGTAAGGAGAGGCACCAGAGAGCTTTTTGTCTCTGCATGAATGCAGTGAGCAAGGGAAGGCCATGTGAGCACACAACAAGTTGGTGTATATCTGCAAGCCAGAAAGACAGCCCTCACCAGAACCCAGCCCTGCTGACACCTCCATCTCTAGGCTTCCAGCCTCCAGAACTGTGAGAAAATAAGTTCCTGTTGTTGAAGCTACCAAGTCTGCTATTTTGCTATGGCAGCCCAACCTCAGACTGCAAATAACTTGCATCATTTTCTATACCGTAGTTCTCATGAGAAAGAAATCTGAAAAGGCTCTGCCCTGAGAACCAAAGGAATCTGGGCCTTGCTGAAAATAAATGTCGGTTAATTAAATTGGCATTTTAAAATTTGGCTTCAAATATGGAACTAGAAGTCACAAAGCAATAGCAGGACTCCACCTTGTCTGGGCTCCTCCTCCTTTCTGTCACCTTTAATTCTTCCTCTCATTGTTTTGTGAAATTCTAGACAACACATGACTGAATATATACATTCTTGGAGGATTTTTCCTAGATATGGGAGCTCAAGTCAGTCACTGATGATAATCTTGGACGTCTAATAATCTGCGGACTTTTAACCCTTTGCAAAGATACAAGAAGGAAAGTGGGATGTCCTCCGTGGAACTGCATAGCCCTGCTATGGTATTTTGAAGTGGTCTTTTAAATATTCAATTTTCAAGCAAAAATGCATGTGTACAGTCATAGGTTTAAGAAAAAAAAACAACCAAGCAGCATTCTTGAGAATGTACTAATCAAATTTTAGTCCTTCCATGGGGTTCCTAAAATGATTTTTTATTGCAAGTTTTACACATTTATAGAAGAGGTAGGAATGATTTCTTTCCTTTGAAATACATGATAATCTTATTGGGAAAATATAGATATTTCAAGAATATCTGGCAAATGGTCAATTAGAGTTAATTCGTAGTTGAATTCTGGGAGGAACTAAAGGAACAAATACATTTTTGAGTTGCTCTAATGTTCCAGGTTCTCCCACTAGACTCTGCCTCCCAACAGCCATGCTGTAGGACAGAGTAGAAAGGGCCTGGGCTCTGAATTCAGTAGGGTTTTAGTGTCAGGTCTGCTTCTTAACAATTGTGCGACCTTAGGCAAGTTTCTCTTAATATATGGAAAATGGGTGGTACAGGGTGAATTGTTTTCCCCCAAAGTTTGTATGTTGAAGCGCTAGGCCCCAGTGTGACTGTATTCGTAGTTAGAGCCTTTAAAGATGTAATTAAGGGTAAATAAGGTTATAAGGTAGACCCCTATACAACATTTCTGTTTTTGAAACCATCCAGTCTGGAATTTTGTTACGACAACCTGAGCAGACTAATACAGTGGGTAATGACAGCATCTCCTGAGAGTGTGGTTAGGATCACCCGTGGCTCATGCAGTGCTTGGCTTCTAGGAAGCACTCAATAAATGGTAGCTATTTGCAGCTCAGAAAGAAGAGAAGAGAAAACAGAGAAAGGAGTGAGTGAATAATTATTAAGATTCTACTATATGCCAAGCATGTTGCATAATTATCCAGTTTAATCTCCCTAACAGTTCTGTGCAGAGCACAGATGAGGAAACTGCACTTTTAGAAGGTTGTGTAATTTTTCTAAAGTCACATATAGAGTGACAGAATCAGCAATCTGGCTTTAAAATCTGTATGCCATGCCACCTACTAGAGTTGCTTCCTAGATGCCGGAAGGTTTTCGTGAAAGAGATTCTGGATGATTTTTGCAGCAGACACACAGCGAGGGAGTGGGCGCCTGCTGTAGGAATGTGTTCCTGCCCACACCAGGATGTTCACTCCCACGCCAAGCTGGGCCACACAGATGCTTGCACTCAGAGGCAAATATCTTTTCAAAAAGGAGTTTTGAATCTGCTCAAGCCCTGGAACCACATATTCACTTAACACACTAGAGGTCTGTACCAAATGCACAGGCCTAAGCAATGGTAAGGGAATGTGTCAGCATTCAGTGTGGCCCTTCCTTGCAGGACCTGGTTTGAGAACTGCCTGTAGACAGCTGGGCCAGGATAAGGTTACTGCAGAATATAAACCCTGATTTGCCACCTGGATGACCTGCTTGAGGGTCATTTTGTCTTCTGCTTTAACCAGGGAGAGTGTCTGTCAAGTGAAATTACATTTTTCATATGGTCGTTTTGAAATTACTCTTTCAAATAGTAATTAACCAGTGGAATTCACTGTGGTTTTGTTTGTTTGTTTGTTTGTTTGTTTGTTTATTTATTTATTGAGATGGAGTCTTGCTCTGTGGTCCAGGCTGGAGTGCAGTGGCATGATCTCGGCTCACTGCAACCTCTGCCTCCTGGGTTCAAGCCGTTCTCCTGCTTCAGCCTCCCAAGTAACTGGGACTACAGGCACATGCCACCAAACCTGGCTAATTTTTTGTATTTTTAGTAGAGATGGGGTTTCACCATTTTAGCCAGGATGGTCTTGATCTCCTGACCTTGTGATCCGCCAACCTTGGCCTCCCAAAGTGCTGGGATTATAGGCGTGAGCCACCACGCCCAGCCAATTCACTGTGTTTTAGACTGCTCATTATTAATGATGAAAGCCTGTGGTTAGTAAAGGTGTTTTTCTTCCCTTTTACCATGACATGTCAGTTACATTTAAACTTAGAGGAAGACTAGAGAGCAGCCCTTTTTATTTTAATTGGAAGTTGAATTTAAGATTTATGGAAAGGCCATTTCTCAGGATTTCTCAAGATGAGTTACCCAAGTTTATTTCTGATTTTGCATTATGTTTGAGATTTTACATAATAAAAGATTTTTTAAAAATAACATTGACATTTTAAAAAATTATTTATATCCTGAATCAAACCTTCATGGGTCACGGATTCAGACTTTGAAAAAGCTTCTAAGGTAGAGAGACAATTACTCAGGTATCTGAAGTTGTGAAATCGCAGGCTGATGAAGGATGGGTGACTGCTACCAAATGTCTTAAGTGTTTCTTAAATTTATCTTCATAAGATAATTGTGCATGAGGAAGAAGTGCAACAGTACACCCAGAATCCACTTGTTTCTTGTGCATGTGTGGCAGATGCTATCTGTCAGTGCCCCATGGCATATCCCCCCAGCACCCACTACTGCGGACAGGGCATGCCACTGGCCTCCAGTGTCCAAAGCCGGGACTCTCCGCCTGATCTCCTCTGGTCTCTGGAGCCAGTTCTGCCTGTGGCTCCAGGAACTTGCAGGTTTCAGGTACTTTATTAGCTTCCTTCTCTTCCGTGTCTCATTTCCCAGTTCCCTGCCAGTGTTTCCTGGGACCACCCCTCAAATAAACTTCTTATATTTGAATCCTTGTTTTGGATCTGCTTCCTCAAGATTTCAAGTGAAGACAGCAAGACACCAAGTTGAGAGACCTAGCCTGCAACATGTTGAGGAAAAATTTCATAAAGGATTTTGAAAGGATGTCCTGTAAATTAAGGCAGTGTTTAGGGTAATACAGGCTTTTTCTCCCTCTCCTCACCCCCACACACATTTGGGAACTCATGGAGTAGATGACACTTGAATCTAGCCTGTGGAGCCGATGTAAGTAAATAGTTTGGCAAGGATCAGTCCTCATGACTCCAATATTTAGATAAAAAGCTAAAGAATTATTGAGATAAGAATTTTTAACCCACTTCCCATTTGCCCTGAGAATACTGCACTGGTAGCGAGCTGTATTTTTTTCTTTTCTAAATAGGAAATGGATTAAATGGGATTTTTAAAAAAAAAACTTAGATAGCTGATCAAATGAATTGCAGTTGATAGAATTACACAATCCCAGCTAGAAATTTGCCAACTGAATAAATGTTCACAGTGAGAAGTGAGGGACAGTTCGATTTGGAAATATAGATAGTAACCTGTTGTAAGAGAGAAGTAAATGCAACAGGCTAGGTTCTATGTGATGAGATTACATATATAAATTAAAAATACAGACTTTCTTAAGTCTATATTTTCAGTAGAGTGGAATATTTTTAGTCAGTATCATTCATAAGTTTGCAAAAATGCTGAACCTGATGTATAAGCCCTTTTATTTTTAACTGCCATCTAGCTTTGTTAAATGAAAACTTTTATTCGTACTTACTCAATTTTAATTCCTTTGAGGCATCTGGGTTGTTAGGGGGAGGTAGAGCCTAGGATGACCCCCAGATTTCTCTTTGAACTGCCTGGGTTGATCGTGGCACCAGTAAACAGGGTAGGGAA
This sequence comes from Homo sapiens, assembly GCF_000001405.40. Classification (NCBI taxonomy): domain Eukaryota; kingdom Metazoa; phylum Chordata; class Mammalia; order Primates; family Hominidae; genus Homo; species Homo sapiens. Next base: position 27,399,044 of record NC_000012.12, read on the forward strand.
TAAGTGATAAAGACTGGGTTTGGGTTGGAAGAGGTAAGGAGTTTTGTAATTTAGGGCATCTGTGGCCTGGGAAGGGAGTGGTGTTTGTGAAATGTTGGATACAAGGTTTTATGCATGGCTTACAACCTGCCCTCTGTTCCCTGCTTTATTTTCCAGCCTTTCCCACTGCAGCATATGCTTCAGCCGCATCTGACCGCTCTCTCTCAGTTCTCACTGGTCATTCCCTCTGGCTGGAACACCTTTGTGCCCCTCCCCTTCTGTCACCCAGGCAACTCCTATTTGAACATCTTTGGTGACAGAGCACTCACTATCAGCAAATGGTGTGGCATTAGTGATTTAGAAAGTGGGCTCTGGAGCCAGCCTGAGTTTTAACCCCAGCTCCATCCTGTACCTGGTGTGACCTTGCCATTAACTCAGTTTCCTAGGACAATGGAGATACTAGAACATCCCATAGAGCTGTTAAGATTAAATGAGTTATACGTTTAAAGCACTTTAAACAGACTGTGACACATAAAGTATTCTCTAAATCTTTGCTATTATTGTTAACTACTATCTTATATGACAGTTCATATCATGTTCTATTTAAACAAAAATTTAAAGGATTTATTGTAATGGAACTTTTACCAAATAGTGCCAATTTGAAACAATGATTGTTCTAATCTTTTCTAAATCTTATCATAAAAACAGCTGTTTCAAATAATTTTTATCAGGCTTTCCCCCTACTTTTTAACCTTTAAATCACTTTTGTGGCATGCCATAATCTGTAGCCTACTCATTGTTTATGCCCGTATTGGATTTATTTTTTGCTTAAGCATGATATTTGAGGATATAGATTATTTCCAATTTTTTATTATTTTGGTGGACATGCTTGACAAGCTTCTTCCTATGAGTTAATTGCTTGGGATTTTCCTAAAAAGTGAAATTTATTTTATTTTTGTACTTTTCACTATAAATTTCTCCAAGTGTTCTTTAAAATGTTTCTATAATCTATTATAACCTTATGTATCTGTTAACCATTATAAGCACTAACATAAGAAATTTAAGAATGTATGCATAATTATTTAAATGTCTTTTTAAAGTTTTGAATATAAGTTACGATATACCAAAAAACTTAATAAGGTGAAAACAATATTGCAAGGGGGCATGAGGATTAATTTTTTCTAATAGATGTAAATTACTATAATTTTAAAAATTGACTTGGAAATATGTTAAGTCATAGACCTAGTTAATCCTAAAATAGAGCAACCTGTTCGTTTTTTCATGTAGTACATACAATTTAGTTCCTGAGAAAAATAATCTATTAATAATAAAGTCATGAAATAAACAAAATTGGTGATATCTTTTCAATGGAATACCATTCCCCTTTCATATTTTAGCATATTTAAAGAGCATTTTATAGCACAATTATAACTATTATAGATGTCAATATAAGAAATTTAATGACTTATTTATAATGATCCAAATGTCCTTTTTAAAAATCTTTGAATTAGAGCACAGAAAATTCTATACTATCCATTGCACTGGTTACTTGAGAAGCTGGCCTCCAAATATTGTTGGAATGGAAGAAGAAAGGAACAGTAAGAAAGACAACAGTAATTTTACCTGCCTTGTGGCCATTGGAAGATTACAGCCATATATTGTTCCACAGAACAGTGGAGAGATTAATGTGAAACCAACTGAATTTATAACCCGGTTTGCAGTGAATGGAAAATTTGTCTATGTAGATCAAAGGTAAACATTTACATGTTATAATGATTAGAATTCAATGGGATATTTGAAGCTATTAAAGGCGTGTCTTAGTAGCACTGCTAGTTTTTCTTTTTCTTTTTTCTGTTTCAGAACAGAAAATAAAGTTTAAATGAAATAAGAATATGGACATGTCAGTAAATTTGCTTAAGCCAACATGTAAACTTGGAAGAGTGTCTCTTAGCCAGTGGTGCAGAAACTGGGCATGATCTGTGGCCACGATTTTACTGGCAAAAGCTAGTAGGAGCACAGCCTGGATCGGGTGGAGGCTTCATGCCTGGGTGCCTGTTCTGTGTTGCAGCTCTAGTCTGGGTCTAGGGCAGCCGAGGGGAGCCCAGTGATATGCATGGGTCACTCATCCCCTACCCTGTGCACTTCTTTACGATCCTGACCATATGTGGGCCTACAGTCTTCTGGGAGGGAGTACACTCACCACTTCTGAAGTTTATTTTCAATTTTGAAACCAGGGCAACAGCGATTTTAGGATATCTGCCTCAGGAACTTTTGGGAACTTCTTGTTATGAATATTTTCATCAAGATGACCACAATAATTTGACTGACAAGCACAAAGCAGGTAGGTATGCATTGAGCAGAATACATTTTGGGGAATTTAAAATGACAGTTTTAACTCTTAATTTCCCATTCCTGTGAAATTTGAAGTTTGAATTAATCTTCACAACATTGATTTTTATAGTCATTGACTATTATGCTGATAATTATCTTTTCTCGTTAAGTTCTACAGAGTAAGGAGAAAATACTTACAGATTCCTACAAATTCAGAGCAAAAGATGGCTCTTTTGTAACTTTAAAAAGCCAATGGTTTAGTTTCACAAATCCTTGGACAAAAGAACTGGAATATATTGTATCTGTCAACACTTTAGTTTTGTAAGTAATTTTTTATGTTAAGACCTTTATATTGATTTCAAATGAGTCTCTTTGCTTTTCTCCTCTCATCTTGCTAAACCATTAAAACTGTGTGATCCTCTGGCCTTTTATTGTAACTTGAGATTTATCTTTTGAGTAATTCATTTACTGTTCATTGACATTAGTTCTCAGAATTAAGCTAAAAGTTTTCATTTCTGTAATACATTCCTTCTTACTTGATATAATATGTGAGGGTAAAGGCATTTATTCAAGCATTTTCTTCCTACCCTCCATGGCCATTCAGTAAACAATGCAGACGTGGATTTCTACTGTGCATTATTGTAAGAAATTGTTTTGTCCTCCCTGTCATTTTTACCTGCACATCTTATAAGCCTGGGGTGCCGCCATGTCTGTGTAGGCATGCTCAGCACGGGGGAGAACAGAAATCCAGCCCAGGTGTTGCTTTAGCAAGCTCTGGTCTGTAGCTGTGTCAGCCTGAAGGAAGAGTCAAGTTTTCCTGATTTTATAGGAGGCTAGGATGGCCCCGTTGTAAGTCTTACTTTTTTTCTGTAAGTTTCTCTTTGAAATTGCTGTAAGGTTTCCTTGAACCAGTTATTTCCTTGTCTACAATACTGAGAGAAAAATAATAAAAAAAAAAAAAGTTTAATACTTCCAGTATTTCCTGTCACCCATCCCAGTAGTCTTTGCCTACTTATTATTAGTACAGGAACTGAGAGTTTGTTATTGTGAGAACACATACTTTATAGAGGAATGGGGCATTTGGCAAACACCATGATACTTAGCACATTAAGACCTTGATTTCTGGTGGTGATACTAACAATATGTGTATATAAAACATAAATGGGCCACAAATTGACAAATTAAATATACAGATCTTAGTGTAGTTGCTATAACAGTTTCCTTCACCTTAGAAAGTAAATCACCTATGGTGTTTTTAATTCTAGGGGACATAGTGAGCCTGGAGAAGCATCATTTTTACCTTGTAGCTCTCAATCATCAGAAGGTAAGCTTACTTTTAGATGATGGAAGACTTATTACTAAGACATATTATTAAGACTATTACTATCTTTTTCTGTCCTGGAGAGGGGAAAATTTGAAGGTGAAATTAAAAGTAGTTCTGCAGGTTGGGTTATAGGAATCCCAACTTTGGTTTAGAAGAGACTAAATTCAACGGGAAATAGATATCCCATTTAAACTCCCAGAGGTATCACCATGTCCCCCTCAAAATTCCCACAGTGCTTTGCTCACTTTTCTGTTATAATCTTGCATTATACTGCAATTAGTTGTTCATTCAACTTGCTTTCCAGTAGACAGTTCTTTAAGGCAGGAATGATGTTTTATCCATTTTTCAGCCCTAGCAGCTAACATTGTTCCTTGTCAATTGTGACACTCTTGGACAAATTAACGAAAAGTATTGGGGGAGTTTTTGCTTATCTGTGTGAGTTTTTCACCACAGGAATATATTAATGTATTATTTGTAAAAATAAAAATCTTAGGAAACATTGAAGTAGTATTGCTGTGGAGATTAAAGTGGCAAGAGACTGGAGTCAAGGGTTACTAGTCACAATTGTGCCCTCAGTGACTCTACACATTTGATTCAAAGAGCATCATGAATTACATATGTAATGCAAGGATGAGTGTTTTCCAACTTTTTTGGATGCAGCTAGTCTGTTTCTTTTAAGGAGAGAACTGTGAAATTATTTGAATTGAAAGAAAGATAAAGTCCTCAACTGAATTTCTCCTTTTGCTGTTACTTAGAATCCTCTAGACAGTCCTGTATGAGTGTACCTGGAATGTCTACTGGAACAGTACTTGGTGCTGGTAGTATTGGAACAGATATTGCAAATGAAATTCTGGATTTACAGAGGTAATGTTTTATTGCTGCAAATATTTTCAAAAGTAAAAATATCATATTTATAAAATCAATATACAAAAATCAGTAGCCTTCCTATATACAAATGATAACCAGTTTAATATAATGGAAAATATTATCTTTACAGTAGCAACAAAAAGATATAAATTTTATAAGAAATATTCATACCAACATGAAAAAAAACTTTAAAATTCACAAAGATATATAAAAAGATAACTCATATAACTTCAGATATAAGCTGTTTTTCAACAGGAAGGCAGAATTGTAAGAATTGTCCTGTTCCTTAAACTAGCCTGTGAATTTAATGTGGATCTAGTCAAAATACCACCGTGTGGCCAGGCATGGTGGGTCATGCCTGTAATCCTAGCACTTGGGGAGGCCGAGGCAGATGGATTGCTTGAGTCTAGAAATTTGAGACAAGCCTGGGCAACATGGCAAAACCTCATCTCTACAAAAAAAAAAAAATTAGCTGGATGTGGTGGTGCACGCCTATAGTCCCAGCTACTTGGGAGGCTAAGGTGGGAGGATCACTAGAGTGGGGTGGAGGGAGAGGGGCTGGTGGGGCAGTGTCAAGGCTGTAGTCAGCTGTGATCCTGCCACTTACTCCAGTCTAGGCAAAAGAGCAAGACCCTGTCTCAAAAAAAAAAAAAAAAAAATACCACCATGCATTTTTTTTTTTTGGAATCCAACAGATTATACTAATCACATTAAAATATCTAGAAATTTATGAAAAATAATAGTAATAAAGTGAGACTAATGCTGTCAGATATTAAAATACGTTATAAAGCTACAACCACTAAAACATTTTAGTGCAACCCACAAATAGATCAATGTAAAAGATTATATTTCAGAAATACAATCAAATGCACATGCAAATTTATTATATGGTAAAAATTAAAAATGACACCTTAAATCAGTAGGTAGAAATGAATTAAACATTAAAGGGCATTATGATAACTGTATAACCATTTGGGGAAAAAATAAAGCTAGACTCCAACTTTATTCTTTACACTAAAATAAATTACAGATAAATCAGAGTTCAAAGTAGAACTATAAAACTAAAGCTTTTCGGGTGGAGCCAAGATGGCCGAATAGGAACAGCTCCAGTCTACAGCTCCCAGCATGAGCGACACAGAAGACGGGTGCTTTCTGCATTTCCAGCTGAGGTACTGGGTTCATCTCACTGGGGATTGTTGGACAGTGGGTGCAGGACAGTGGGTGCAGCGCACCAAGCGTGAGCCGAAGCAGGGTGAGGCATCGCCTCACCCGGAAAGCGCAAGGGGTCAGGGAATTCCCTTTCCTAGTCAAAGGGGTGACAGATGGGCACCTGGAAAATCGGGTCACTCCCACCCTAACACTGCACTTTTCCAATGGTCTTAGCAAGCAGCACACCAGGAGATTATATCCCATGCCTGGCTCGGAGGGTCCTACACCCACGGAGCCTCGCTCATTGCTAGCACAGCAGTCTGAGATCAAACTGCAAGGCGGCAGCGAGGCTGGGGGAGGGGTGCCCACCATTGCCGAGGCTTGAGTAGGTAAACAAAGCAGCCGGGAAGCTCGAACTGGTTGGAGCCCACCGCAGCTCAAGGAAGCCTGCCTGCCTCTGTAGACTCCATCTCTGGGGGCAGGGCATAGCCAAACAAAAGGCAGCAGAAAACTCTGCAGACTTAAATGTCCCTGTCTGACAGCTTGGAAGACAGTAGTGGTTCTCCCAGCACACAGCTGGAGATCTGAGAATGGACAGACTGCCTCCTCAAGTGGGTCCCTGACCCCTGAGTAGCCTAACTGGGAGGCACCCCCCAGTAGGGGAAGACTGACACCTCACACGGCCAGGTACTCCTCTGAGACAAAACTTCCAGAGGAACGATCAGGCAGCAACAATTGCTGTTCACCAATATCCGCTGTTCTGCAGCCTCCGCTGCTGATACCCAGGCAAACAAGGTCTGGAGTGGACCTTCAGCAAACTCCAACACACCTGCAGCTGAGGGTCCTGACTGTTAGAGGGAAAACTAACAAACAGAAAGGACATCCACACCAAAACTCCATCTGTACGTCACCATCATCAAAGACCAAAGGTAGATAAAACCACAAAGATGGGGAAAAAACAGAGCAGAAAAACTGGAAACTCTAAAAATCAGAGCGCCTTTCCTCCTTCAAAGGAACGCAGCTCCTTACCAGCAATGGAACAAAGCTGGACAGAGAATGAGTTTGATGAGAGAAGAAGGCTTCAGATGATCAAACTACTCCGAGCTAAAGGAGGAAGTTTGAACCCATGGCAAAGAAGTTAAAAACCTTGAAAAAAAAATTAGATGAATGGCTAACAAGAATAACCAATGCAGAGAAGTCCTTAAAGGACCTGATGGAGCTGAAAACAACGGCATGAGAACTACATGACGAATGCAAAGCCTCAGTAGCCAATTCGATCAACTGGAAGAAAGGGTATCAGTGATGCAAGATCAAATGAATGAAATGAAGTGAGAAGAGACGTTTAGAGAAAAGAGAATAAAAAGAAACAAACAAAGCCTCCAAGAAATATGGGACTATGTGAAAAGACCAAATCTACGTCTGATTGGTGTACCTGAAAGTGACGGGGAGGATGGAACCAAGTTGGAAAACACTCTGCAGGATATTATCCAGGAGAACTTCCCCAATCTAGCAAGGCAGGCCAACATTCAGATTCAGGAAATACAGAGAACGCCACAAAGATACTCCTCGAGAAGAGCAACTCTAAGACACATAATTGTCAGATTCACCAAAGTTGAAATGAAGGAAAAAATGTTAAGGGCAGCCAGAGAGAAAGGTCAGGTTACCCACAAAGGGAAGCCCATCAGACTAACAGCTGATCTCTCAGCAGAAACTCTACAGGCCAGAAGAGAGTGGGGGCCAATATTCAACATTGTTAAAGAAAAGAATTTTCAACCCAGAAGTTCATATCCAGCCAAACTTAAGCTTCATAAGTGAAAGAGGAATAAAATACTTTACAGACAAGCAAATGCTGAGAAATTTTGTCACCACCAGGACTGCCTTACAAGAGCTCCTGAAGGAAGCACTAAACATGGAAAGGAACAACCAGTACCAGCCACTGCAAAAACATGCCAAATTGTAAACCATTGAGGCTAGGAAGAAACTGCATCAGCTAACGAGCAAAATAACCAGCTAATATCATAATGACAGGATCAAATTCCCACATAACAATATTAACCTTAAATGTAAATGGGCTAAATGCTCCAATTAAAAGACACAGACTGGCAAATTGTATAAAGAGTCAAGACCCATCAGTGTGCTGTATTCAGGAGACCCATCTCATGTGCAGAGACAAACATAGGCTCACAATAAAGGGATGGAGGAAGATCTACCAAGCAAATGGAAAACAAAAAAAGGCAGGGGTTGCAATCCTAATCTCTGATAAAACAGACTTTAAACCAATAAAGATCAAAAGAGACAAAGAAGGCCATTACATAATGGTAAAGGGATCAATTCAACAAGAAGAGCTAACTACCCTAAATATATATGCACCCAATACTGGAGCACCCAGATTCATAAAGCAAGTCCTTAGAGACCTACAAAGAGACTTAGACCCTCACACAATAATAATGGGAGACTTTAACACCCCACTGTCAACATTAGACAGATCAACGAGACAGAAAGTTAACAAGGATATCCAGGAACTGAACTCAGCTCTGCACCAAGCAGACCTAATAGACATCTACAGAACTCTCTGCCCCGAATCAACAGAATATACATTCTTTTCAGCACTACACCACACCTAATCCAAAATTGACCACATAGTTGGAAGTAAAGCACTCCTCAGCAAATGTAAAAGAACAGAAATTATAACAAACTATCTCTCAGACCATATTGCAATCAAACTAGAACTCAGGATTAAGAAGCTCACTCAAAACCACTCAACTACATGGAAACTGAACAACCTGCTCCTGAATGACTACTGGGTACATAATGAAATGAAGGCAGAAATAAAGATGTTCTTTGAAACCAACGAGAACAAAGACACAACATACCAGAATCTCTGGGATGCATTCAAAGCAGTGTGTAGAGGGAAATTTATAGCACTAAATGCCCACAAGAGAAAGCAGGAAAGATCTAAAATTGACACCCTAAAATCACAATTAAAAGAACTAGAGAAGCAAGAGCAAACACATTCAAAAGCTAGCAGAAGACAAGAAATAACTAAGATCAGAGCAGAACTGAAGGAGATAGAGACACAAGAAACCCTTCAAAAAATCAATGAATCCAGGAGCTGGTTTTTTGAAAAGATCAAAAAAATTGATCGACCGCTAGCAAGACTAATAAAGAAGAAAAGAGAGAAGAATCAAATAGATGCAATAAAAAATGATAAAAGGGATATCACCACCGACCCCACAGAAATACAAACTACCATCAGAGAATACTATAAACACCTCTACGCAAATAAACTAGAAAATCTAGAAGAAATGGATAAATTCCTGACACATACAGCCTCCCAAGACTAAACCAGGAAGAAGCTGAATCCCTGAATAGACCAATAACAGGCTCTGAAATTGAGGCAATAATTAATAGCTTACCAACCAAAAAAAGTCCAGGACCAGATGGATTCACAGCCGAATTCTACCAGAGGTACAAGGAGGAGCTGGTACCATTCCTTCTGAAACTATTCCAATCAATAGAAAAAGAGGGAATCCTCCCTAACTAATTTTATGAGGCCAGCATCATCCTGATACCATAGCCTGGCAGAGACACAACAAAAAAAGAGAATTTTAGACCAATATCCCTGATGAACATGGATACAAAAATCCTCAATAAAATACTGGCAAACCAAATCCAGCAGCACATCAAAAAGCTTATCTACCATGATCAAGTGGGCTTCATCCCTGGGATGCAAGGCTGGTTCAACATACGCAAATCAATAAATGTAATCCAGCATATAAACAGAACCAATGACAAAAACCACATGATTAACTCAATAGATGCAGAAAAGACCTTTGACAAAATTCAACAACGCTTCATGCTAAAAACTCTCAATAAATTGGATATTGATGGGACATATCTCAAAATAATAAGAGCTATCTATGACAAACCCATAGCCAATATCATACTGAATGGGCAAAAACTGGAAGCATTCCCTTTGAAAACTGGCACAAGACAGGGATGCCGTCTCTCACCACTCCTATACAACATAGTGTTGAAAGTTCTGGCCAGGGCAATAAGGAAGGAGAAGGAAATAAAAGGTATTCAATTAGGAGAAGAGGAAGTCAAATTGTCCCTGTTTGCAGATGACATGATTGTATATCTAGAAAACCCCATTGTCTCAGCCCAAAATCGCCTTAAGCTGATAAGCAACTTCAGCAAAGTCTCAGGATACAAAATCAATGTGCAAAAATCACAAGCATTCTTATACAACAATAACAGACAAACAGAGAGCCAAATCATGAGTGAACTCCCATTTACAATTGCTTCAAAGAGAATAAAATACCTAGGAATCCAACTTACAAGGGATGTGAAGGACCTCTTCAAGGAGAACTAGAAACCACTGCTCAATGAAATAAAAGAGGATACAAACAAATGGAAGAACATTCCATGCTCATGGGTAGGAAGAATCAATATCATGAAAATGGCCATACTGCCCAAGGTAATTTATAGATTCAATGCCATCCCCATCAAGCTACCAATGACTTTCTTCACAGAATTGGAAAAAACTACTTTAAAGTTCGTATGGAACCAAAAAAGAGCCCACATTGCCAAGTCAATCCTAAGCCAAAAGAACAAAGCTGGAGGCATCATGCTACCTGACTTCAAACTGTACTACAAAGCTACAGTAACCAAAACAGCATGGTACTGGTACCAAAACAGAGATATAGACCAATGGAACAGAACAGAGCCCTCAGAAATAATGCCACATATCTACAACCATCTGATCTTTGACAAACCTGACAAAAAGAAGAAATGGGGAAAGGATTCCCTATTCAATAAATGGTGCTGGGAAAACTGGCTAGCCATATGTAGAAAGCTGAAACTGGATCCCTTCCTTACACCTTATACAAAAATTAATTCAAGATGGATTAAAGACTTACATGTTAGACCTAAAACCATGAAAACCCTAGAAGAAAACCTAGGCATACCATTCAGGACATAGGCATGGGCAAGGACTTCATGTCTAAAACACCAAAAGCAATGGCAACAAAAGCCAAAATTGACAAATGGGATCTAATTAAACTAAAGAGCTTCTGCACAGCAAAAGAAACTACCATCAGAGTGAACAGGCAACCTACAGAATGGGAGAAAATTTTTGCAATCTACTCATCGGACAAAGGGCTAATATCCAGAATCTACAATGAACTCCAACAAATTTACAAGAAAAAAACAAACAACCCCATTAAAAAGTGGGCAAAGGATATGAACAGATACTTCTCAAAAGAAGACATTTATGCAGCCAAAAGACACATGAAAAAATGCTCATCATCACTGGCCATCAGACAAATGCAAATCAAAACCACAATGAGATACCATCTCACACCAGTTAGAATGGCGATCATTAAAAAGTCAGGAAACAACAGGTGCTGGAGAGGATGTTGAGAAATAGGAACACTTTTACACTGTTGGTGGGACTGTAAACTAGTTCAACCATTGTGGAAGTCAGTGTGGCGATTCCTCAGGGATCTAAAACTAGAAATACCATTTGACCCAGCAATCCCATTACTGGGTATATACCCGAAGGATTATAAATTATGCTGCTTTAAAGACACATACACACGTATGTTTATTGCAGCACTATTCACAATAGCAGAGACTGGGAACCAAGCCAAATGTCCAACAATGATAGACTGGATTAAGAAAATGTGGCACATATACACCATGGAATACTGTGCAGCCATAAAAAATGATGAGTTCATGTCCTTTGTAGGGACATGGATGAAGCTGGAAACCATCATTCTCAGCAAACTATGGCAAGGACAAAAAACCAAACACCGCATGTTCTCACTCATAGGTGGGAATTGAACAATGAGAACACATGGACACAGGAAGGGGAACATCACACACCAGGGCCTGTTGTGGGGTAGGGGAAGAGGGGAGGGACAGCATTAGGAGATATACCTAATGTTAAATGAAGAGTTAATGGGTGCAGCACACCAACATGTCACATGTATACATATGTAAGAAACCTGCATGTTGTGTACATGTACCCTAAAACTAAAAGTGTAATAAAAAAAATAATAATTTTTAAAAATAAAATAAAACTAAAGCTTTTCCAGAACACATGTATGAATTTTTATATTCTCAACTTGAAAAGTCCTTTCTAAACATCAAAAAATCCAGAATTTGTAAATAAAAATATTTGGTAAATTTAATTGTATAAAAATTAAAACCTTACACATAACTATATCATTATAGCAATGTTAAAAGAGAAATTATAAACTGTGGAAAATGTGTGGATTTCATACGGTAAAATAGACAAACTATCTTAATGTATAAAGAGTTTTCTTGTATAAAGAGTAAAATTATTAAGCTTTATATTAAACTTTATGTATTTAATTTTATATATCTCTATATCTTAAACATTGTAGTATACAGAATAGTTATTGTGTTTTTTTAAATTTTCTTTTGAGGCAGGGTCTTGCTCTATCCCCCAGCCTGGAGTGCAGCGGTGCGATCATGGCTCACTGCAGCCTGGACAACCCATGCTCAAGCGATCCTCCTGCCTCAGCCTCCCAGGCAGCTGGGACTACAGGGGCACACCACCACACCTGGCTACCTGGCTTAGTACATTTAAAAAAAATAATAACACAATAAACGGCCAGGTGCAGTAGCTCATGCTTGTAATCCCCAGCACTTTGGGAGGCCAAGGTAGAGGATCACTTGAGGCTAGGAGTTCAAGACCATCCTGGGCAACATATCGAGACCCCATCTCAAAAAAAAAAAAGAGAGATTAGCCACGCATAGTGGGGCACAGCGGTAGTCCCAGCTACTTGGGAGGCTGAGGTGGGAGGATCACTTGAGCCCAGGAATTCAAGTCTGCAGTGAGCTAGTCATTATCATTTTCCTACTGATTAGTGATATCGACTGCCTTTTCATGTGCTTATTGGCCATTTGTATATTTTCTTTGGAGAAGTGTGCATTCAAGTCCTTTGCCCACTATTTAATCAAGTTGTTTGTTTTGTTGCTGTTGTTGAGTTGGGAGTTCTTCACATATTCTGGATATTAACCACTTAGCAGATATGTGATTGGCAAATATTTTCTCTCAGTCTTTGGGTTGCCTTTTTACTCTGTTTATCAGGTTTTTTGATGTACAAAAGTTTTTAATTTTTATATACTCCAATTTATTTATTTATTTTCATTTGTTGACTGTGTTTTTGGTGTCATACCAAGAAATGGTTGCCAAATCCAATGTCATGAGGCTGTTCCACTATTTCGTCCTAAGAGTTTTATAGTCTTAGGTCTTAAGGTCCTAAGTTTAGTCTTTGATCTACTTTAAGTTAGTTTGTGTATATGGGGTAAGGTAAGAGTCCAGCTTCATTCTTTTGCATGTGGATAACCAGTTTTCCCATAGTATTTGTTGCAAAGACCATCCTTTTCCCCACTGAGTGTTCTTGGCACCCTTAGTGAAAATTATTTGACCATATATACTGCAAGGGCATTTTAAGAGAAGTGGAAATGGAGCTAAACATTGACAACTGGGTACTATTAAATGTTCAGCATAAAGTACAGAGGGCATTTATATAAGGAGGCACCTTAGGTAATGTATGAAAGTAGGTAGAAGGAATCATAGTGGCTTCAGAAAACAGAGACTCAATTGAGAGAGGAATTGAGTTGGTGAGCAGTGGGGGTTCCTAACTAAGGTAAAGTCAAGTAGTAGAGGAACTTAAATAGTAGATTTTTGCCCAGGGAACTAATATGAAGGAAGCCAAGATACAGAAGATTAATCTGATTGTAAAGAGATGAGGGGAGAGGTAGTTTTCATCAGGCTAAGTGAGCAGTTAGTGATTTTAAAACATGAACAGGGGTGATATCAGATGCCAGCAAGATGGCACAATAGGATTTCCAGAGTGAAGAAAGCCCATAGGACTTATGGGACACTTTCAAGAAAACCAATGTACACATGTGTGTGTCCCAGAAGGATAGAGAAAGTCAGAGGCAAAGAGCTTATTAAAAACAAAACACACACACACACACACACAATGGAAAACCCCCAAATTCAGAGAAGGGAATGTTCATTGAGCCCAGGAGTTCCAGATTTATGAAGCCCAAAGAACCCCAAATAGATTAAATGTAAAGAGATCTTCACCAAGACACATTATAATCAAATTCTCAAAAGTCAAAGAAGGAGAGGATTTTGAAAGCATGAAGAGAAAAAGCAACTTGTCACATGTAAAAGAACCCACATAAGCGTTCAGCAGCTTCCTCAGCAGAAACCTTGCAGGCCGGGAGAGAATAGGATGATATATTCAAAGTGCTGCAAGGAAAAAAAAAAAAAGCCAAACAAGAATACTACATGTGGTAAGGCTGTCCTTCAGAAATGTAAGGTAGATAAGGACTTTTCCAGACAGACAAAAGCTGTGGGAGTTAATCACCATGAGATCTACCTTTCAAGAATGCTAAAGGGAATTCTTCACGTTAAACTGAAAGGGTGCCAATTAACAAATGGAAATATAAAACTTTCTGTAAAGATAAGAATATAGTCAAATTCAAAATACTCTAATACTGTAATGGTAGTACATAAATCACTTTGAATTCTAATAGAAAAGTTAAAAGACAAAAGTATTAAAAATAATTATAGCTACAATAATTTGTTAATGAATACATGATATGTAAAAGATATCAATTGTGACATCAGTAACATAAAATGTGGAGAGAAATAAAGTGTAGAGTTTTTATGTGCAGCTGAAGTTAAATTATCAGCTTAAAATGTCCTGTTATAATGACAAGGTATTTTATGTAGGCTTCCTAATAACTACAAATAAGTTCTTTTTCCAAGAAAAAGAAAAAGGAATCAAAGCATACCACTACAAAAAAATCATCAAATCACAAAGGAAGACAGTAAGAAAGGAAGAATGGAACAAAGGAACTACAAAACAGAGAACAATGAACAATATAGCCTAGTAGGTACTTTACTATCAGTAATTACATATAAATGGATTAAATTATTCAATCAAAGACAGAGTGGCTGAATGGATTTAAAAAATAAGATCCAACTGTGTGCTGCAACCAGTGACTCAATTTAGTTTTAAGGACACACATAGGCCAAAAGTGAAGGGATGGAAAAAGATATTCCATCCAAATGATAACCAAGAGAGAACAGGGGTGACCATACTTATGTTAGACAGAATAGATGTTAAGTCAAAAACTAAGCTGGGCATGGTGGCACACACCGGTAGTACCAGCCATTTGGAAGGATGACAGGAGGATCACTTGAGCCCAGGAGTTCAAGGCTGTAGTGCACTGTTACCATACCTGTGAATGACCACTGCACTCCAGCATGGGCAACAGCAAGACCCTGTCTTGAAAAACATGCAAAAAAAAAACTCCCCTGCAAAACTGTCATGAGACAAAGAAGATCATTATATAATGATGAAGGGGTCAATTCAAGAGGATATAACAATTGAAAATATATATGCACTCAACACTTGAACACCTAAATGTATAAAGCAAATATTAACCAAATTGAAGGGACAAATATACAGCAATACAATATTAGTAGGGGACCTCAAAACCTCAGTTTCAACAATGGATAGACCATTCAAACAACATCAATATGGAAACAGTGGACTTGACTAAAGACGTGAACACTCCATCTGATGGCAGCAGAATACACGTTCTTTTCAAGTGCACATGGAGCACTCTCCAGGATAGGTGATATATTAGGCCACAAAACAAGTCTTAAAAAATTTAAGAGCATGGAAGTCCTATCAGGTGTCTTTTCTGGCCACAATGGTAAGAAACTAGAAGTCAGTAACAAGAGGAAAATCGTAAGAGTCACAAATATGTGCAATTTAAACAACACATACCTGAACAACCAGTGGGTCAAAGAAGAAATCAAAGGGGAAATTTAAAAATCTTGAGAAAAATGAAAGTGGAAACACAACATATCAAAACGTATGGAATGCAGTAAAAAGCAGTTCTAAGAGGGACGTTTATAGCAATAAATACCTATGTTAAGAAAAAAACCCTAGCTTTACACCTCCAGAAACTAGAAACAGTACAAACTAAGTCCAAAGTCAACAGAAGGAAGGAAATTATCAGAGCAGAAACAGATTGAATCAAGATTAGAAAAACAATAGAAATGACTGATGAAACTGAGTTGGGTTTTTGAAAAATAAAATTGATAAACCATTAGCTAGACTAAGAAAAAAAAGAGAGAAGTCTCAAATTATAAATAGTGACAATATGAATGAACTCGCAGGACATTATGCTAAGTGAAATAAGCCAGATACAGAATGAAACATACTGCATCATCTCTCTTATGTGCAGAATCTTAGAAAAAAAAAGCTGACTAAATAAAAATAGAGTAGATAGGTGTTCACTAGAGGCAGGGAGGGCATGGAAATGGGGAGAAGTAAATCAAAAGGTACAAATTTGCCATTAGGTAGAATGAGTAAGTCTACAGATCGAATGTGCAGCATGAGAACTAACTATAGTTAATAATGTTATATACTGAAGATTTGCTAGGAGAGTAGGTTTTAGGTGCTGTCAACATACACATACACACAGGTAACTGTGGGAGGTGATGAATATGTAAATTTATTTAACTGCAGCAATCATTTTACTATGTATATGTACAGTATACCATCGTATTGTACACCTCAATGTCAACTGCCTTCTTGGGAACACATAAAGACATAAAGTTGTGTTTATGCCATTTTTTTCTCTATGTGTGTGTTTCATTGATTTTTACCTGAGGATGACCTATTATAGTAAAAATATGGCACATTTTCCACTTTAAAAAGATTCCAGAATGTTAGTAAATCTTTCCTTACTCTTGGTTCTGCCATTTGGTATCTTGAGGAGGAGCTGATTTTTGACATGAGCACCTGTTTTAAACTGTGCTGTGTTATTCTATTAACACATGCTATATTGACAGATGATACGATTTACTCAAGAGCTTTTACCTCAGAGCTTTGTTTTTCTATTTATCATGGAGTGTTTTTCAGCATTCCATAGTCAAAAATAAGCCTGGCACCTAGTAAGTCAGTCTAATTGTGAAACCTGCTATGATACTCAGTTTCAAGTTCCTCACTGTATTTTTATTAGTAGATTATTATGTATTTAGAGGAGAAAATTTCCTTCTAAAATATGTAAAATTAAAAATGTTTTATGTATCACTTTTTAAAGGTTACAGTCTTCTTCATACCTTGATGATTCGAGTCCAACAGGTTTAATGAAAGATACTCATACTGTAAACTGCAGGAGTGTAAGTATACTTGTAAATGATAATATTCATGAAATAAATGAACAATAAAATTTGCCCCTTGTTGATTATTTCTTTTAAGAAAAGAAGCCATTCTGTCAAAAAAAAAATGAACCCATTTTGATCACTCAGTGATTTTTAAGTGGCGTTGTGGAATAGTAGTTAAGAATGAAGTTGCTGGAAGCGTAGTATCTGAGTCCAAGTTATGACACTTACTGGGATGTAACCTCAGACTTTTACTTAAACTCTCTGTGCCTCAATTTTCTCATTCATAAAGTAAGAATAATAATGTCACTGATTTCGAGGATTGTGAGAATTAAGAGCTTAAATACATAAACAAAAACTCTTAGAACAGTGCCTAGCACACAGTAAGTGCTAAATAAATGGTAGCTCTTATTATTGATATTGTAATAGGTTCCAATTTAGTAGATTAAATCTACTCCTTGAGGTTTGGAAAAAAAAAGCTTAAATAATACAAGCCACAAGATAAATACCACATACTACTTAATTCAATTGAACAAATACTAGCTATTTGAAATGCATTATTGTATATACAAAAATTACTAAACCTAGTGCTATCTGGAAGACTAAAATACAGTATAATTGTAATTTAGCACAGACAACAAAAAGCTCTAAAGCAGGTCTGTAAATCAAGCAGTATAAGACTACAGGAGAAAGGAGAAATTTTATCTGACCAGGGACAGACAGAAACTTGAAAATACAAATATCAGAGCCAGGCATGGTGGCTTGTGCCTATAATCCCAGCTACTCAGGAGGCTGAGGTGGGAAGATCACTTGAGGCCAGGAGTCCAAGACCGGCCTGGGCAATATAGTGAGACCTCCTTTCTAAAAAAGATTTTTTAAAATACTAGCCAGGCATGGTGGCACATGCCTGTAATCCCCGCTACTGCAGGAGGCTGAGTCAGGAGGATCACTTGAGCCCAGAAGTTTCAGGCTGAAGTGAGCTATAATCACACCACTGCACTAGCCTGAGCGGCAGACTGCAACTGTCTAAAAGCAAAAAAAGAAAATATAAATGTCATGTCTTTTTATACAAATATCATGTCTTCTGCTTTATTATTTATTCATTTTTTTCATACAGTTAGCACGTGTTTATTAGGTATCCATTTTGCGTGAGGCAGGATGCGAGAAACAGATTTATGTGGTAGTAAAAATGTCTAAGTAGTGTACGTTATGTAAGCATTCTATAGATAAAGTATGTCAACTTGAGACAATATAGGCAAATGATTTCCTGTTTTATGAGCTACATGGATTATTAGATTGTTTGGCCTGTAACTATATAACAGTATAAGAACTTTTCAGTAACAGCATTTGGTTTAATGTTTCCCACTCCAAAGCAATATTTCCCATAGTAGTTTTATATGAGGTATAGTTTTGCCATCATTTTATAAAAACAGAAATAAACTTTGACCCCAAGCATTTGTGGACGTGAACTTTTTCTTCTTCATCCAAAACTTTTCCTTACATATGCACCTTCAGTTATGGCTCTTAAGAATGCAGGCTTTGGAGTCAGGTAGACTTGAGTTAGAATCATGGCTTCAACACCTTGGGCAAGATATCCCTTTAGGCCTCAGATTTATGATGTGTAATATAGCTGCCTCACGGTATCTGAGAAATGAGATGAGATGATGCAGGTGGAGAGCTTGGCACATGGTCCTCGGGAAAAGCAAGCTTCCATATTGATGGTGGCAGTTGTAGCATTGGTGGCAGGCCCATGTCTGATAACTGCTAAAAAGTATTTATCTTGGCCAGGCGCAGTGGCTCACACCTGTAATCCCAACACTTTGGGAGGCCGAGGCGGGCAGATCATGAGGTCAGGAGATCGAGACCATCCTGGCTAACACGGTGAAACCCCATCTCTACTAAAAATACAAAAAATTAGCCGGGCGTGGTGGCACACACCTGTAATCCCAGCTACTTGGGAGGCTGAGGCAAGAGAATTGCCTGAACCCAGGAGGTGGAGGTTGCAATGAACCGAGATCATGCCGCTGCACTCCAGCCTGGGCAACACAGCGAGCCTCCATCTCAAAAAAATAAAAAATAAAAAGTAAAAATAAATAAATAAAGAGTGTCCTTATTCTAGTAGGAACCTCACTGTTTGTTACTCTGGCTGTCTTTTCAGATGTCAAATAAGGAGTTGTTTCCACCAAGTCCTTCTGAAATGGGGGAGCTAGAGGCTACCAGGCAAAACCAGAGTACTGTTGCTGTCCACAGCCATGAGCCACTCCTCAGTAAGTTTTCTTTGGGAACTGCTGACCATTTTCGTTTATCAAAACCCCCCTCTTAATCACTATGTTTTCAGGCACAGGAAATTTGTAGAGAAGCAGATAGTTTTAAAACTAAGGTTTTTTTCAGTTGAGCACATTGGCTCACACCTGTAATCCCAGCACTTTGGGAGGCCAAGGCAGGAGGATTGCTTGAGGCTAGAAGTTCAAACCAGCCTGGCACACATAGCAATAACCCATCCCTACGAAAAAAAAATTGTTTTAATTAGCTAGGCATGATGGCTCATGTCTATAGTCTTAGCTACTTAGGAGGCTAAGGCAGGAGGATTGCTTGAGCCCAGGAGTTCAAGGCTGCAGTGAGCTGTAATTGTACCACTGCACTCCAGCCTGGGTGACAGAGTGAGACCTTGTCTGAAAAAAAAAAGTAAATAAATAAATAAATATTTTTTTTGTTCGAAATTCTAAATAACAATAATTGTACTCAATCTTAAAATGGATGCTACCATTGGCTGGGCATGGTGGCTCATTCCTGTAATCCCAGCACTTTGGGAGGCCAAGGCAGGCGAATCATGAGGTCAGGAGTTCGAGACCAGCCTTGCCAACATGGTGAAACCCTATCTGTACTGAAAATACAAAAAATTAGCTGGGCGTAGTGGCAGGCACCTATAATCCCAGCTACTCGGGAGGCTGAGACAGGAAAATCGCTTGAACCTGGGAAGTGGAGGTTGCAGTGAGCCAATGTCGTACTGCTGCACTCCAGCATGGGCAGCAGAACAAGACTCCATCTAAAAAAAAAAAAGGATGTTACTTAATGGTTCTGTCATTAAGAATTCAGTTATCAATGGAATCAGCTATGAGTATTGGTAAATACACAATTTAATTAAAACCAAGGTATTTCTATCTAGGAAAAAAGGTCCATTCTCAAGAATTACCGAGAATTCATAAAGGATAGAAGTCAAAAAAGTTTAAGATGTAATCATTCATTTTAACAATGTTTATGCAAAGTCCAGATCAAGTAAATTGAGTGACATGGTATTTTAGTCTGTTTTATGCTGCTATAACAGAATACCACAGATGGAGTAATTTGTAATAAACAGAAATTATTTGGCTCACAGTTCTGGGGACTGGGAAGTCCAAGAGTATAGTGCAGGCATCTTATGAGGACCTTCATGCTTCATCTTCCCATGGCGGAAGGCAGAAGGGCAAGAGAGGGTAAGAGCGAGAAAGCAAGATGTGGGAAAACTCACTTTTATCACAAACTCCCTCTTGAGATAACTAACCAACTCCCATGATAATGACAGTCCATTCATGAGCACAAAGGCCTCATGACCTAATTACCTTGTATCAGGCCTCACTTCTCAACACCATTGCATTGGGGATTAAGTTTCCAACACATGAATTTTAGTGGACAAATTCAAACTATTGTATATAGTTTCATATCCTCCATGACTGACATTGCTCTGCTAAAGCATACACTAAAGAGAAGCAAAGGACTTGAAGGAATTTGGATATCCACTTTAAACACACATAGAGCCATATATTTATTATCTGAAGTTCCACTGTACTTTGACACATATATACAAACCTTTGGTTAGTCTTTATCTGCATTTTAACCCTTAATTTCTAGAACCTTTTATCTCTAAATTAATTATCATCTCCATGGTTCCTACTTACTTCCTTTTTCAATAAAAATCTGATTTATCTCCCTTTTATAAGAAAATTCCAAATCTTTAGAAGATGCTTCTGTCTCAGGCTTCTCATTTCAGTATTAAACAGATAGGGTTTTTTCATAAGCAGATTAAATTTTCTCCTTCCAGGGTTTGCGCGTGCACACACACACACACACACACACACACACAAACATACACTAAATTTCCTAGCTTCCTTCCAGCTCTCTGAGAGTCTGTACCCTTTAGCAGTGTAATTTCCTATTAGAAAACTCATAGACTAGCTTACTTCTCTGTAGCAGATGAATTAGGTGCAATTTATCTGACAGAAGATTGTTATAAAACTAGGTAACCCATTTAAAAATACATCAGCCATCTGCAGCTTAAGATATATACTTTGCCTTCAAAAATACATTTTATGGTTTTCTAGCCTTGCTTTGCCATTTTTTATCACAATCATTTTTTAACCTCAAAATGTGTGAAATGTATGACTTTACTGATCACCTTTACTTACACAGGCCTGTATTTTAATTCATAGGTGATGGTGCACAGTTGGATTTCGATGCCCTATGTGACAATGATGACACAGCCATGGCTGCATTTATGAATTACTTAGAAGCAGAGGGGGGCCTGGGAGACCCTGGGGACTTCAGTGACATCCAGTGGACCCTCTAGCCTTTGATTTTTAACTCCAAAAATGAGAAACATTTTAAAGCATTTCATTTACGAAAAACTGTCTCAACTATTCTTAAGTACTGTATTGATATTGTTTGTATCTTTTATTAATGTTCTACCACTTTTTATAGATTTGCATCTTCCTGTCACAGGGATGTGGGGAAATACGTTTTCCTCCCAAGAGAACCAAGTTTATTATAGACTCCTTTATTCAGTGAAATGGCTTATAATCCACTAGTTGCCATATTTTTGCTAAAATATTTCTAACCAAGAATACTACTTACATATTGTTTTGGCTTTGTTTTATTTTTGATGCAGTTTTTTTTAGTTGAGGTAATGTAATATATTGATGTTTTCCTTTGTGTCTAAGATTCATTTATAATAGTAGGTTTGTATAATTTGGAACATTTTCCATTCCTTGCGAATTTCCTTAATTGAGGATAGGGCTTACACACTTTAAGAAAACAGTGAGTACTTGAACATTTAAAGGGACAGTGCAATTTATAGTCATAATCACATTGAATACTGTATTTGATCTTTGGAGACTTAGGCAAGCACAGAGCTGGGATATTTATGCTCAGTTGAGCACTTTAAGATGAATTTTAAGTGAGATGATTTCTTGCTTAAAACTCAGAAAGTCAAAAGAGTTTCAGCTTTCCTTACAGAAAAGGAAGGATCTTGGGCCCTAGATCTTGGGGATTAACCTCTGCATATAAGATTTACTCTTAATAGGCCAGACGTGGTGGCTCACGCCTGTAATCCCAGTACTTTGGGAGGCTGAGACGGGCAGATCACTTGAGGTCAGGAGTTCAAGACCAGCCTGGCCAATATGGTGAAACCCCGTTTCTACTAAAAATACAAAAAAAATTACCCAGGCACTCACTCTTGAGGTAACTAACCAACTCCCACGATAATGACAGTCCATTCATGAGCGCAAAGGCCTCATGACCTAATGGCACACACCTGTAATCCCAACTGCTTGGGAGGCTGAGGCGAGAGGATTGCTTGAACCTGGGAGGCAGAGGTTGCAGTGAGCCGAGATCGCACCACTGCACTCCAGTCTGGGCAACAGAGTGAGACTTCATCTCAAAAAAAGTAAAAAAAAAGATTTAATATAATCACTGAAGATCTCTATTATAGATAGATTAGGTTTTTGACATTGGAAACATACTTAGGGATAGATTTGTCCTAAAGGAAAAAAGTAGGCCCGGGCAGATTAAATGTCTTGTGTAAAGTCACACATTAAATTCAGTCACACATTAAATTCATAGAGTTTTAAATGTTTAATGTATATAAACCAGTTTCTTTATACACATTTGGGAAAACATTGGTCTCACAGATTAAATGATTAACTAACTGACCCAGGAACTAGTTGTAGCTTTCTAAGTAATTAGGCAATTACAGTTATTGCCTGTAACCAAAGGTAATAAAACAAAATGACAAGTACATGTTTAAAATTATGAGGCAATGAGAAATAATTTAAAAACCAATTTTCTAGTTATAATTTAAAATTTGGAGAGCATTTTTAACAGTAATTAATCCAGAGGTGGCTCAAATTGAGTATAAGAATTAAGATTATTTAAAATACTGCATGTCTACCTTCTCGGGGATCATACTTTATAACACTTTCTGCTTCAGTAGCTCTTCATAGCTTGCCAAGTATGCTCCCATATTTTCTCTCTCGTGCCTCGCAAATGAAAGTCAGATAGGCTGGGAACTCATGGGGCAGCCCTCAGACTTCAATGTGGGCTTCAAATCCAGTTTCCTGTTCTATATGGTGCTACATCTTTCCAGAAAATTTCCCTCAGAGCCCCTCGCCAAAACAAAGCATTATTTTGACCCTGCATGCTATTTCTTTAGCTGTAGGTGATAGATTAGAACTTCTGTCAGACATGTTAATGACAAACATACCAACAGACAATAACCAAAAGCAAATGTTTCCTTCAAGTGTGAAATGTGCAGGGGCTTCGTGGGCAAGGATGTATTGGCACACTGTCCTCTTGAACTGATAGTGTCCCAGCAATGTTGGAGGGTTGGCACCATTCCTGGTCCGACACTTGAGGACCTGAGAGACATCAGGTTTAGAATGAGCCAAAGAAATCCTACAAGATGGGGAGAATTGGTGTGCAGCAGCCTAAGTGTTATAGTTAAGTCTAAAGAAGTATGAAAGATCCCCTGTGTTCTCTAAATTGAGCAGAGGGGCCTGCCTACCAATATCACTTTTTAGGGGACTGAACCATTGCAGGTTAGACTTGGCTTCCAAAGAGTCTGCCTAAGCCAGGGGTGGCAGGGTAGGCCATCATAGCTGGATGGCCTCAAAAGCAGATGGGGGCAGACTTGCCCTCGTGATGCCAGGATTTGAGAGGCAGAGTTTCTAGAGGGAGACCAGTGCTGCCTCTCACAGTGGCAGTTTTTTCTCTTTGCAAGAGGAGGGGCTGTTCAATTCCATAGACCAGTGGGCAGATAGCCAGTTGAATACTCTGTGCATGGTTTGATCCTTTATTAGTTCGCTCTAATATTTTTCTGTAGATCCTTTTGTCCTGGACTCAAAATCTAATCCATGCATTGTATGATACCGTAGCTCTCCTAAGGTTTGTGTTTCCTTCAAAATGTTTTAGTTTTCTTCAACTAAATTTGATTTTTGCTGTTAGAAGTGACATATTTTTATGGTATACACTATGTTCCTTTTTTCTACTGCGAGTCAATTTTTTGAATTTTCGTGAGAAAGAATATATCTACAAATTGCACGAAAGTATCATAAAAACAGTACTCTAGACTTTTCTTTTCTTTTCTTTTTTTTTTTTTTTTTTTTTTTGAGATGGAGTCTCGCTCTATCGCCCAGGCTGGAGTGCAGTGGCGCGATCTTGGCTCACTGCCATCTCTGCCTCCTGGGTTCACGCCATTCTGCCTCAGCCTCCAGAGCAGCTGGGACCACAGGCGCCCGCCACCACACCTGGCTAATTTTGCTTTGTATTTTCAGTAGAGACGGGGTTTCACCATGTTAGCCAGGATGGTCTCGATCTCCTGACCTCGTGATCCGCCCACTTCGGCCTCCCAAAGTGCTGGGATTACAGGCATGAGCCACTGCGCCCGGCCTACTCTACACTTTTTTTAACCCTAAGAATTACCACTACAGTAATGTAGTGGAGTGGGAAGAGTGCCTGGAATCAGAAGACCCTGTTGAGGCTGAATTTAGCTGTATGACCTCATGCAAGCCATTTAAACTCTGTGCCTCAGCGTCCTCATTTTTAAAAGGAGGTTTGATCTCTATGTTTACTTCCAGCTCTGATTCTGGGATTCTAATCCACAGGACTTGGGTGTTAGGGTGGAACCTAGAACTGTGCTGTCCAGTGCAGTAGCCACTAGCCACATGTGGCTACTGAGCACTTGCAATGTGGCTAGTACAAAGTGAGATGTGCTATCAATGTAAGATACATACCAGATTTTGAAGACTAGTATTACCAAAAGAATGTAAAATATCACATTAATAATTTTATATTAATTACATGTTCAAATGATATTTTGGATATACTGAATTAAAACATTAAAATTAGTTCTACTTGTATCTTTTTACTTTTTTAATGTGGCTAGAAGAAAATAAAATTATACATGTGGCTCAGATTATATTTCTATTGGACAGCGCTGCTCTAGAACATTATATTAAGTGGTTATTATTGAAGTAGACCAAAGTTTATACCATAAGGATATTTTTCCTTAAATACCATGTTTGAAGAACAATTATTTATTGATCCTTGAATCTGTAAGATCAAATAACAAGTCTCTATCCATGTTACCAAATTTAAACTTTTGAAAATAATAAACTTTAAAATATCAGATGTGTTATTACAGGATGATACTTGGAATCAAGTGAAATGAGTTATATGGTCATCACTAAATTTAGAAATCTATTGTGAAACAAAGACAAACAGGAAAGTACAGAATAGAGACTTTTAGTAAATAAATGGAATTTAAAAGAAAGTGTTTATTTACAGTGTCACGACAGAAAAGGATGTCTTTGTTGTCATAGTCTTTGAGGGATCTCCGTAAAATCTGGGGCACAGGTACAAGAAATAGCCAATATTTAGTTCCCAGACCATGTTTAGTAGTGTCCAGTTTCAGATCATGCTGCCAAGAGGTATCTCCCCCTCAGGTGGGTCATCACTGAGCCCTGGAATTGGAGACTCATACTTGCCCAGCACAATGTTACGGGCAGACAGGCCGACATCTATGATTAGCTAGAAGCCATAAAGAAAAGCTGCTAAGTGGCCACTAGGTGCCACTTTTCTGTTTTTGTAATGCTTTCATTAGCAGATCTTTTTTTTCCAAGCTCCATGGGGCCTATGAGAGGCATTTATGATTTTTGTGCCTACAATAAGTCAGCCTGTCTGGTGTGAGTTGTTTTATGAGAAATGCTTTCCAAGGGAGGTCTAGGAAGATCCTGACACATAAGAACTTTGGCTTAGAGAGCTTTCCAGGTGTAGTGCCAATAAAAACTGACCTGGAAAGAAAACCTGCCCAGCACGGAACATGCTTTCTGAACTCACTTGAGAGTGTATGGTGTATGTCACTTCTCATATATTCTTGAGTTTAGATTTGTCTTTTATACAATTTTTAGCTCTTTTCCAGTTCACTTGTGCTCGTCTGTATATTGGTATTTTTAAATTTTTGTGGTAAATAATGAAAAGAGTGAAATTATATTTTATAATTACTCATTTGTAGTTTTTTTTTTTAATTTAATAAACTTCCTCCAAAAAGTGCTCCCTTAACTACTTTCTAATGTGGAAACATAGATTAAGGAAACCATCCAGTGCCCTCAAACCACTGGGCAGAGGGGTACATTGAACTCTGTTACTATATATATTTCTGGGTATGTTCCCCAGGGTATACTAACTGCTGTAACAACTCCAAAATCTCAGTGGTTTAACCAGTAAAGGTTTCCTTGTGCTCACGTCAGACTCCAACGTCATCAGCCTTATCTGTCCCTCTGACTCTCTCCTCCTCCCTTTCTGCCTCTTCCTCATTCCATCCCTCAGCTTTGCTTTCCTATGAGCTGGTTTTATCTTCCGGTGGACCCTCTCCGCATAATGACACTCAGAAGTTCCAAGCGTATATTGTTCTTATACCTGACAATTTCAGTGGAAAGAGAGCCTCTCTATTTCCTAGTAATTCACATGCACATATGCATTGACTGGGCCTCTGGATCAACTTGGTTTACCTGGACTTTCTGTTGTGTGGTTGCAGTATCTACACTAATTCTAGAGAGTCAACCATCATGAATTATAAGGTTCTATTGTCCCTTCTGCAGATAACCCTGTCCTCCCTCAGGCCCCAGGCTGTCTAGCTGTTGGCATCTGACATCTTTTCCCCTTCAAGGATGCCTTTAAAGTTTATTTTAATTTATTTAATCAGAATTAAAATGTTAGGAAGGGAAGGCAAAATAAGCAGTAGGTTCTTTCCAGGTCAACAGCCTGGAATATACAGATTAGCCAGGCTGTGATACATGCTCAACCTTGGGTTGAAGTTTGGCGAGGCAGCCCTGTTGGAATCTGGGGATCTCCCATGGGGATCTTCCAACACACTGGACTCTCCTCTTCCCCAGGTCTCCCACTGCCAGCACAAGAGGCTGTGAAGGTGAAGAGGATACAGATTTAAGAGATTTGTATTACAGAAGTAGGATGGCAAGAACTTGAGGACCAATTGCATATGGGAAATGTTGAAGCAAAAGCAGTGAACAATGACTCAAGTTTCTGGCCCCAGGGGTCTGGATTGCAGTGCTGTTCAAGAGGTAAGAGTTACATGAGGAGAGACAACTTTGGGGTAGAAGATGCATCACTTCTAGACAAATTGTGTTCAGGTGATGTCTAGCAGATAGTTGGATATGTGAGTATGGAGGATGGGAGAGAAAGCTGAGATGAGCGGCACACTGAAGCTTTTGAGCCTCAGTTTCTTCATTCGTAAAGTAGACTTCATTTGTAAATACCCTTGCAGAGCTTTAGTGAGGATTAAATTAGCTTATGTAAAGTGCTTACACATTGTCTGACAGTAATTTTAACAATGATCATTATATGTTAATTTATAAGCTCTACAGTATGATAATAAATGTTGGAAATTAGTGTTATAGAGAAGCTTCATCATTAAGTTAGTAAAAAATTCCTGAGACTATATAGCAAACAAATATATAAGTAGTACAACAGTAATTTAAGCCTTGCAAAAGTTTAACCCAAATAACAGTAGAAATTCATAACCAATGGGAAAGCGTTAAGTACCTAGAGAACCCAACTGAGGTAGGGTGTTTGGGAAGACGTATATCTACAGCACAAAGAGGTAAACAATTTTGTTTGCTAAGGTGGACATCTATAAGGCATTTTAAAAGAAAGTTGAAATGGTTCCTAATAAATGACATCATTTGTTTCAATGACAATTTGTTTCAAATAAGTAAGCACTTATTTATCCTGTGCTATGCTCTTAGAGACAATTGAAAACGCCACAGTCCCTGCTCTTAAGAGACTACAGTTTGGTAGAAAGACAGTGGAAAGCAGTAACTATAGAATGTGATAGCTGCTACTTTAAAGGGATGTGCAAAGTGCTAATAGAGTATGGGAAGGTCAGGCTTTAACTTTGCTTGTGAAGAGTCATCAAAATATGTTATACTCTGGCAGTTTTTTCCTATTTATCCAGCCCAGTGGTTTTCAAATTTATTTGCATCAGAATTACATGGAGGACTTGTTAAAACACAGATTATGGGTCTCCTCACGCCCATAATTTCTGATTCAGTTGGTCTGACTTGGAGCTTGGGAATTTGCATTTCCAGTAAGTTGTCATGTGATGCTGAGGCATCTGGCCTGGGGACCACACTTTGAGAACCGCTGATCTTGCCATTCACAAACAACAAATGGACGTATCCACAGACCTCTTATTCTAGGGCTCTTCTGAGGAAAGTAGAGTAGGGAACAGAGGGCCTCAGGAGGCCTACCTACTTATTTTGCCTACCCTACTGCTTATTTTGCCTTCCGTTTATAACATTTTAATTCTGATTAAATACATTAAAATGAACTTTAAAGGCACCCTTGAAGGGGAAAAGACGTCAGAAATAGCCAACAGCCAGACAGCCTGGAGCCAGAGAGGGGAAGGGATGTGCAGAAGGGACAAGAGAACCTCTTGTAATTCATGATGGTTGACTCCCTAGAATTGGTGTAGGTACTGCAACCACACAGCGGGCTCTTCTTGCCTGCTGTCCAGATAGAACCGATTTATCAAGATGGGGAAATTGCAATAAAGAGTTTCATAAACGCAGAGCCAAGTAAATGGGAGACTGGAGTTTTATTGTTACTCAAATCAGCCATCCCCAGAGTTTGAAGGTGAGAGTTTGTTAAAGATACTTCGGCAGGCAGAAGGGTAGGGAATGGGGAATGCTGATTGGTCGGGTTAAGGATGAAATCATATGGGGTTGAAGCTGGTTTTTCTTGCTGTCTTCTGTTCCTGGATGGGATTGCAGAACTAGTTGAACCGGATTACCCTTG
Organism: Homo sapiens; assembly: GCF_000001405.40. NCBI lineage: Eukaryota > Metazoa > Chordata > Mammalia > Primates > Hominidae > Homo > Homo sapiens. The sequence continues at coordinate 27,428,053 of NC_000012.12, forward strand.
TGGGTGACACCAGTTGGTTCATCAGAAACATCTCTGAACACCAATGTTAGGTTTTACAATAGTGATGTTATCCACAGGAGCAATTGGGGAGGTTGGGAATACTCCTGAGCCATAATTTCTGATCTTGTAAATAATTTGTTAGTTTTACAAAGGCAGTCTGGTCCCCAGGCAAGGAGTGGTTTTGTTTCAGGGAGGGGCTGTTAGCATCTTTGTTTCAAAGTTAAACTATAAACTAAATCCCTCCCAAAGTTAATTCAACCTACACCCAGGAATGAACAAGGACACCTTGGAAGTTAGAAGCAAGATGGAGCTGGTTAGGTCAGATTTCTATCACTGTCATAATTTTCCTATGTCAGATTTTTCTCACTGTCATAATTTTTGCAAAGGCACTTTGAGTATGTGAGCCTCAATCTTTTTGTTTGGCTGTTTTGGTTGTTTTTTGTTGAGGAGGGGAGGCAAGGCAGAGAAAGCTGTGTCACACCTTTTTAATGTTAATCTTGGCCACCTTTTTTTTTTTTTTAAAATACTCAGCCACTAGTCACTGTGGAGGACTCTGTCCATTGCTTAAGGCATTGTGTGTTGAGGGAGTCAGTAAAGAATTGTCTTAAATTCTTGTCCAGCTGTGTGCCTCTGGCCTTGGAATGACAGTTTCTTAGACACTCCTGGCTCCTGGCTGACTTTAAGGCAATGCTTCTCACATTTACTCCTGTCCAGGAGGAAACCTGTTACATTTTACCTTGGGGGTAAATACATGAAATAAATGTACTTTTTTTTTTTTTTTTTTACAAAACTACACTAAAATGGGATGCCTAGATTACATAAACTTAAAACTTACTAGAGCCCTTGAAAATTTTATTCAATACTTTGTTGACTGAGCAATCACCCAAAAGGCTTCCCATCTACCAGAAGGGACATGTAGACGAATATCACATAATTAGCTGATGATTAAATTATTTGGCAGCCCATGAATGTTCAGTTTGATTTAGCAAAGGTCAAGCAAAACACAGTTGTAGTGTCTGAAATATCTATTCTTGAGGGAGAAAATGGACACATAGATTATATGTAAAATAATTAAAACTTATGGAGTAAAAAGACACTATTTCTTTGTAGTAACGTATTAGTAGCAGATTGCTTTTTAAATTTTTTTTCTGTTTGTAAAAGAACTTTACATTCATTTTTGGAAAATTCAGGATTATATAAAGGTGCTAAGAAGAAAATAAAAATCACCTAATAAAAAATTTTACCACCTAGTGAAAAACCATAGTCAACACTTGAGTAGTCTTTCTCTTTTTTCAAGGCCTTTATATTCTAATGACTTTTTTAAAGTTAGAATCCTACTGTTTAATACAAAAAAGAATAATAAAATTGTACAAAGTAATGCGTATATTGGTTAAAAGTCAGATAGCATTTGAAGTCATAAAATTACAAAAAAAAAAAAATAGTCCCCACCTTAGCCCTAATTCTTGTTCTCCAGAGCAACCACTTATACCTTTTTTTAGCTGATTATCATATTTATAGTTATGTTTCTAAGTATACTTTTATTGTCACTTCATGAATGGCCCAGAATGAGTATAGAATAGGAAGTCAACAATTCATTTAAATATTTCTTTATTATGAAGCATTTAGGATGTCGGAAAGTTTTGCTATTGTGGGTAATATGACAGCTAACATCCCTTCTAGACACACACATGCTGTACACCTCTCTCCTGTTGTTTAGAATGAATTTCTTGGAGTGCAATTGCCAAATCAAAATTGCCCAATTGCCATAAAAAACAGTTTGCATTCAGCATTCTTTCCAGAGTTAATTTTATGTGGTTAAATATGTTGATATTTCTTGCCTAATTTCTTTGTTGTTATGCTTAGGAGGGAAAACTTCTCCACCCCAAGATCAAATAAACACACACCTCAGTTTCCTTCTAGGTGTCCTGTGGTTTCGTAGTTTATACTAAAGTCTTTGATCTAGCTGAAGTTTATTTTGGCCTCTAATAAGATACAGGAGTCTATTTTTCTTTCCAAAATATTATGCCCTTTCTCCACAACTCTTCAATGACTAGTCCTTTCTTTTCCCACTGATTCGAAATGTTGCCATTACCATCGATTAAGTTCTTGTATATTCTGGTACTCGTTTTGAAATGAAGTAATGGTGGTGGTGGGCAGGGAGTTGAATTAATGTGATTGTCTGTTCTTTCACCAGTACCAAGCTGTTTAAGTTAATAAACACAGTAGAGTTTGATACTGATCTTTCCATTATGTGATAGTATATCACTTTTTCTTCTCTTATTTTCTGAAAAGTGTTCAAACTATAAAATATAGTTCTATATATTTTGTTTATAAAATATAAGAAAACAGAGGGAATAGTGGCTTTTTCTGACTTTAACATTTCCTTTTAAAGTTTTTAATTTATCAGACTACCCATCAATGAGGCAGGAGAATTGCTCGAACCCAGGAGGTTCCACTGTGTTAGAACCAAACTTTCAGAAACAGTTTGGCTGTGTTAGCATTCCTTTAAACTTTTGTTATATACAGAAATCTAATTCCAACATGTTTATTCTTGGAACCATCTGCCCAATGCTACAATCTGAATTCTCTTGCGTTGTTGAAATTTTGAGGGAATAAGAATAAAATCGAACCTTTATTAAATACTTACCGTGGCTGGCACAGTTCCTAAGCCTATTACACGTATTAATGTAAGCCTCCTAAGAATCCTGAAGATAAATGCTGGTATTATCCCCCATTTTACACACAAGCAAACTGGGGCTTAAGAGTTAAGTAACTTAACAAGGTTACCCCACCGCTCATAAGCAGTGGAGTTAGAATCCAGACCCGAGCAGCTCGATGCATGCTCTCAACTGTGATTTTGATAAACCTTTGATTTATTGTGTGCTCTCGGGGACCCTAACCCCCTGAACTCAAAGCACAGCAATTTCTTTTACAAAAGATATTTAGTTATGAAAAAACACATGAAATTTACTATCTTTTTTTTTTTTAAGACAGCTCTGTTGCCCCAGACTGGAGTGCAGTGGTGCGATCTCAGCTTACTGCAACCTCCGCCTCCTGGGTTCAAGCCATTCTCCTGCCTCAGCCTCCCTAGTAGCTGGGATTACAGGTGTGCACCATCATGCCTGGCTAATTTTTTAAATTTTTAGTAGAGATGGGTTTTCGCCATGTTGGCCAGGCTGGTCTTGAACTCTTGATCTCAAGTGATCCGACTTCCCAAAGTGCTCGGATTACAGGCATGAGCTACTGCACCTGGCCTCAATTTACTACCTTAACACTACTGAACCACACATTTAGTGGTTAACTGTAGTCATGTTGTTTTGCAACAGATCTCTAGAATGTTTTCATCTTGCAAAACTGAAACTCCATACCATTTCCTCTTCTCCTCAGCCACTGGCAACCACTGTTCTGCTTTGTTTCTAAAGATCGAATACTTTAAATACAAATACATGAAGTATTTGTCTTTTTGTGACTGGATTTCTCTTAGCATCATAGCCTCAATGTTCTTCCATGTTGTACCATGTGACAGAATTTCCTTCTTTTTTGAGGCTGCATAATATTCCATTGTAGATCACATTTTAAAAAAATCCATCCGTCCATTGAAGTACATTTAGGTTACTTCTACCTCTTAGCTATTATGAATAATGCTGCCAGGAGCATGGGTGTGCAAATATCTCTTCAAGATCCTACTTTCAATTCTTTGGACATATACCCAGAAGTGGGATTGCTGGATCATATGATAATTCCATTTTCTTTTTCTTTTTTTTAAGGTAAGAAATCTCCAAACTGTTTTCCGTAGTGGTTGTACCATTTTACATTGCAATCACCAGTGCATAAGGGTTCCAGTTTCTCCACATCCTTGCCAACTCTTATTATAACTCTTGTTATACTCCTATTATTCTGTTTATTGGATAGTAGCCATCCTAATGGGTGTGCAGTGATATCTCATTGTGGTTTTGATTTGCATTTCTCTAATGATTAGTGTTGTTGGGTGTCTTTTCGATGTTTGTTGGCCATTTGTATATCTTCTGTCCTCTGCGCATTTTTAAATCAAGTTATTTGGTTTTTTTGTTGAGTTGTAGGAGTTTTTAAAAATATATTCTGGATGTTAACACCCTATCAGATACATGATTTGCAAATATTTTCTCACATTCCATAGGTTGTTTTTTCACTCCACTTATTGTTTCCTTTGATGTGCAGAAGCTTTTAAGTTTGATGCAGTCCTACTTGTCTATTTTTGCTTTTGTTGCTTGTGCTTTTGGTGTCTATTTCCATCTCAGTTGCTGAAGCACGTGTCGTACTTATTTTGGAAAAAAAATACATTAGAAACTTTTAACAAATGCCATGAAATACATTTTGAAAACCTTAGGAAATTTCTTGAAATATGTAGTATGAAAATTGTATTTGTAAATCATTACTCAGTTCAGCATTGTAAATATGAGAGGCTAATTTATACAACTATATAAGAAGAAATGGGAGACAGAAAAAAAGAACCATCCCTGTTCATATTTAAAAGAGGGATAGCATTTGTACCATATCCTCTCTACATCTCCAGCAGGTGCAGCTAAAGAAATATCACGTTTTTCTTGTTGAACCCAAAGTGGGCTTCAGAACCCTTTTCAACACAGAGCTCCAGGCAACCATTCATGATCAACTGAGGTGACACATGACATGAAATCTATTTGTCATTATGTCTTCAAAAACACTTCCAAAAGCATATTCATTAAAGCAGAATTCTCCAAACATGTCACGTTGAAAAACAGTCATAGCTGCAGATTCACAATGATTACAAGCATATTAAACTCATTGAGAAATCCTCCCAGACAAATTCTTTCACTGATTAATCCTCATTTTTTATATTGATTTGTCCACAGAACCATTTTTGTTATATTGTTTCTATTAAAATACTATGAAATTAGATTTGTATGAAATAGTATTATTGAAGCAGTTCTCCAGTATTTGCTACAGAATGGCCATTTATAACATTGGTGTCAGTTCTCTGGAAAATGTTAGTCAACTTTATTCTACATCGTAACTATCTTGTGGAATTTGGTCTCCACAAAAATGTATAATTTTTAAAGGTTAAAAAACAGGAAAAAAATAAACATACACGTACACACATATAGACGTGTGTGTGTGTGTATGCTAGCATTTTCAGGAATACAAAGCAGCTAAAAAAGATCCATTCTCTTTTATCACTAGATTTAGAGGATTGGTCGCTAACAAAACAAGAAGGAAAAATTAACAGCATAAGAGTACAGCTGCAAAGTTGACTAATATTATCTGTGGCAGCTTAAGGAGAAAACAATGTAGTCATTCCTCAGCTATGGAAACAATCCAAACTTATATAAATAGAAAGAGGACATCTTAAGGGAGGGGGCTACCTCTAAGTCAAATAAGAGGGCATCTGCTCTAGAGATGGGATGTCCCACACCATGGGCAGATGCAGATGTGTATACACACACACACACACACACACACACACACACACACATATATCATATTCTCAACCAGGAATGAACATTGCAAAAGTGTCAGGAGAAAGGAAATTCTAAAACTCTACCCAACTTTTAGTGATTATTTTAAACTATAATTATTAAAAATATTGAAAAACTAAGCCACAAAAGGAATGAAGTCATTATTAATTGGATATCTAGCTGGTGTTTTACACAAATGAGGAATCATGGCTGCTTAGGCCTACTGCCTAGAGGCCGTTCTTCCTTTAACTCTAGATTATGTGTTTACATAGATACAGTTTTGGTGAGCATTTATTATTAAAATATTTCTTCTCAAGAGGTCATAGAAAATAAGCAAAGTTATTAAAAATCATACCAACAGTTGCCCTGAACGTGCAAGATTGCAAAACATTTTTTGGAGACATGGTCTGGCTCTGTCACCCAGGCTGGAGTGCGGTGGTGCCATCTCAGCTCACTGCAACTCCCACCTCCCTGTGCAAAACATCTTAAAGCTTAATGTTTTCCAACCTCAGATGTGTGGCCACAAGAACAACCATTAGAGAGTAACATGCTATGTGGTTCTGAAAAATAAAGAGCTGCTTTCTGAAACATAACCTAGCGCCAAAACAGAATCCATCAAAAATAAATGTTGGAATCTACAGTGGTTCCTAATATGTGGTCCTGAGACTGATAACATTAGTGTCACCTGGGAGCTTGTCAGGAATGCAAATTCCTGCGCCCCACCTGAGCCCACTGAATCAGAAACTCTGAATATGGGGCCCAGAAACATGTAATAGGCCCTCTACGTGATTCCGAGACACGCTACTGTTAGAGAACTATTGCTTGCTTTGTGTCTGGTATTAGCTTGGTCCATTTTATCTAGACTTGTTGAGGCTTCTTATTCTTTGTGATCTTAGTAATAATAGAATTTCCCCACATTTGAAGAGCAAAATACAGAGACAGCTTTCCAAATATAACATCTAATGAGCTGTCAAACAATGACCCTCCTTCTGTAGCAAAATTGAGTACAGAAGTTGTCTATGTATCTTTAGAACACAAAAAGAAGATATGTTTCAGGAAAACAAACCAACTGAAAAAGATCCATTCTTTTTTATCACTGGATTTAGACAATTAGTTTATTTAAAAAAACAAGAAGAAAAAAATACTGCAAAGTTGACTAGTAATATCTGTGGCAGCTTAAGGAGAAAATAAGGTAGCCATTCCCCAGCTATGGAAATAGTCCAAACTTATATAAATAGAGGACATTTTAAGGGAAGGGGGTACTGTAAGTCAAATAAGAGGGCATGTTTGCTCTAGAGATGGAAGGGGTGTCCCACACCATGGGCAGCTGCAGTGACTGAGGGAGTGTCTGTAGGAAGCTGTCTGCTACACGAGGCGGCACCTGCTACCAGGCCATGGAAGGTTCCACTCACAACCACCACCTTCCAAGGGGCTCCTGAAATCTCCCTGTCCTCTTGGAGACCTTCACATTCTCTTTCATAGCAGGGTAAACTGTGCTGAGAAGCTGGGGTTCCCTAGCCAGGCACGTTTTATACTCCTGGGTAATGTTCCCATTTTGAAGGGTTTCAGATGACTTCAGTTTTCAGATGACAGTGACACATTTTCTAGAGCAGGGTTTCTCTACCTTGGCACTACTGACATTTGTATAATTCTTTAATTATACATCCTGTATAATTCTTTGCTGTGGGAGCCTGTCCGGTGCACTGTTGGCTGTTTAGCTGCATCCCTGGCCTCTATCCACTAGATGGCAGCAGAACCCCCCCCCCCCCCCCCCCCGGCAATTGTGACAACCAAAAATGTCTGCAGACAGGGCTGAATGTCCTCTGGGAGGGTGGGGTGCAAAATCCCCGCCCCCATAATGAAGAACCCCTACTCTAAACTCTAAAGAGGTAGTTTTCCTTTCTTTCTGTCAAAAGGGGCAGGAAAAAAACATTCTCCTGTTTGTTCTTTATCTTCATTGATGCCACCACTCATCTGATTCCTATTTTGCTTTGTTACCTCTCTCTCTCTCTCTCTCTCCCCCCCATCCCCCATCTCTCTCCTCTCTGTCTCTGTCTCTCTCTCTCTTTCTCTCTCTCACTCTTCTTCTTTCCCTACCCAGACTGGTCCAAGGTTATCACTTCACTTACTCTGACAATGTTCTCAACCTCCTGGCCCCATTATCTTTGGCTCTAGTGACTCCAAAAATTCCCACCTCTGGGTCAGTTCAGCTCTCTGGTGACCCCATTTCTACACTAGAGATACCAGGCATCTCTGGAGAAAGTCACAGTTCTGTATAAATTCATGGTCTCCCACCAATGAGCCTCAGTGAGGCAGCGTGGGGTTCTTGTTTCTCTTCACCCACTTCTATCTTTTCCATTCCTACTATCTTAGTCCATTTGGGCTGCTATAACAAAAATACCATAGACTAGATTGCTTAAACAACAAACATTTATTTCACACAGTCTGGAGGCTGAGACATCTAAAATCAAGATACTCTCAGATTCAGTATCTGATGAAGGTTCCACTTCCTGGTTCATAGACAACTGTCTTCCTGCTGTGTCCTCACATGATAGAAAAGGAGAAAGGTTGCTCTCTGAGACCCCTTTTATGAAGGCACTAATCCCATTCACAAGGGCTCCACCCTCATGACCTAATCACCTCCCAAATGTCCCACCTCCTAATACCATCACAGTGGGGGTTAGGATTTCAACATATGAATCAGGAAACACAAACATTCAGTCTGCAGCACTCACCTTGGGTGGGGAGCTCATCAGTATTAACAACACAAAGGTTGCTTTGTCTGTTTTGTTTTGGTTTGGTTTTACCTTATTAATACTGCACTTTGGAGAATGGAAAGTGTAGGGGATGGGTGGGAACCATATGGAAAACTAAGGAGTGACCAACCAGATGGATCCACATTTGTCCTGCCAGAATGCAGCCAGGAACAATCCTTCCTCCAGCCCTGACCATGGTGGGGGCATTCACAGGATGGGTCTAGCAGAAGAGGAGAGGGGTAGAAAAGAAAAGAGGAAGAAACGAAAAGAAGAAAACAAAAGAAAGGAAAGACTGAGGGAGGTCAGGGAAATAATGAGCTTCCGGGTGCCTAGCTAAGGTTGACTCTGTATGAATTTAAAAGTAATGAGATGGATCAAGTAAAGGAATGCTCCATCCACTCCATCCACTTGACCCAGATGGATCAAGTAAAGGAAAGCTCCGTCCACTGACCCCCAGGTATGTTCCTGGTGAGCTAGCTAAGAGTAAGGTGGTAAGATAGTGCCCCTCCTGGTAATGGGCTAGATATAGATACATAGGGCATGACAGTAAGGCTACATATATTTATGAAGCCAGTTGTCTTGCCCATTCCCTATTAACAGCAATTTCAGACTTTTTCACTCTCTTCAAACTTTCCATGTCACCACATTGCCCTTACAAAAGATGACTATGCATATCACTTCGCCATGTTCACCATCAAAGTACAGCAGAAACCCCCTTATGGGATGTGGTTGGGACTACACATTGTTACATTAGCTGAAAAGGCTTATTAAAGCAGGAAATCACCAAAAAAGAAACATATATATGATGTAGACATTTTATTTTAACTTAAAACATAAGTGGGGCTGGGTGCATTATCTCACACCTGTAATTCCAGCACTTTGGGAGGCTGAGGCGGGAGGATCACTTGAGCCCAGGAGTTCGAGGCTACAGTGAGCTATGATGGTGCTACCGTACTCCAGCCTGGGTGACAGAGAAAGACCTTGTCTCAAAAAACAAAAACAAAACATAGTGGGCATCCATTTGTTAATCATCTGAGTTAGAGCCAACACCTTTTGGAGAAGGTCCATAAATTGGAGTTCTGCAAAAATAATGGCAATGATTTATCATTGACGATGTCCAGTTTGGACTTTTTAGGTAAAGCAATACAGGTGAAAGCAATTTTGGGTTTTTTTTTTAATCCAAACTTTTATGGTTGATTTTGCCCACACCTACTTTGACCCAAAAAAGTAGCAACTCACCTTTTAAAGGATTTTCCCAAAGCGTAGATTTCATTTAGTTTGATTTTATTTCACTCGATTTTATTTTAAATTGATTCCTTCAGCTCACATTGTTAAATATTATAAGTACAACTGGCATGAACAGTTCACAAAGGGAAGGGGGTTCTTCAGGGGAAAGAATCTATGCACAGAGCTCTCCTGCCATAAATCAGTTTCCTTTTCCTAAACTACCAGTTCACCTGCATGCGCAGCTCCAGCCTACTTCCTGTCAATATGGAAGAGAGCTCCTTTTGTCCAAAGACCCCTTCACCTGGGCTCTGTATCTGATTTCCCCTCAACACCTCAGTCTGTCTCCCTCTTTTGTATCTTCAACATCTCCCTCTTTTCTAAATCCTTCCCTTGTGCATTTAAACCTGCTCTGTTTACTCTGATCACAAACACAATCATCCTTAGGCCCCATGTCTTTCTCCAGTGACCACCCTCCTCTTCACAGTTGGGTTTTTATAAGACTTGCCTACACTCCCGGGCTTCCTGCTTTCACTTCTCCAATTCACTTCTTGTCTCACCTCCTCCACTGAAATGCTTCTCTTCAAGGTCACCACTGACCTCTTGGTGTTCTTTAACATTTATTTCTCTGGAATGTTAGTCACTGCAGACCACTTCTTCCCTTTCTTGAATCTTCCTCCCTCAGCTTCTGTGATATCTCACTCCTGGTTTTCCTTTAACCCGCTGGCCATTCAAATGTCAGAGTTCCTTTAGGCTTCATCCTAGGGCTGCTTTCTACTTGCTTTATTTTCTGTGGTTTCATCCACTCCTATAGCTTTACTACCATTAATTGATGATAACTCTCAAACCTATGATTCCATCCTGATCTTCTCCTTAGCTCCAGAGCAATGCAGCCGACAGCCTACTGGTCATATCTGTTAATATGTTCCAGGGAGAACTTAACCTCAACCTGTCCAAAGTGCAATTCATCACTTTGCCTTTCTTCCCTAACCTGCTTTTCCTCTATTGTCCTTATTTTTCTGAAGGGTACCGATATTTGCCCATTTTCCAAACCAGGAACCTGGAAGACATCATTCACTCATCTCTCCTTCTTACTCTATACATCTGATCAACTACATTAGTCATTCATTCAACAAACATTCATCTATCTGTATCAATCCTTTACATGTTAGAGTTGCCAGTTTAGCAAATACAGGAGATTGGAGTTTCCAGTTCCAAAATGGCCACACAGAAGCAAGCTGGCTTCTCCCCCCACCCACCCACCCACCATTTCCCCCACAAAAAAACAAACAAACAAATATATAGGACTGAGATCTTCACCAGCAACAAACCAGAGCTCAAGTATGAGGATGAGACAGTTCCTGGGGCCACAGAGAAATGGAAGAACTCTTAGACAGTGGTAGGAGAACCAGACTTCTGCACCTGCAATACCCCTTCCACCCCATTCTGCAAGACATGAACCACATGGAAAATCCCCATCCAACTTACGGTTTCTGCACTGGAAAAGTGAAATTGAGGTGGTTAATAAGCTTCCTCACCTTTTTGGTTTTTCTGGCAGGAGAACTGTCCTTGCCTTAACCCACAAGTAGCATTAGGACTGTTTCATGGGAGAGATATCCCTAAGGATAGGCAGAGACAATTAGGGAGGCAGGGCTACCATCTTCAGCCCAGAAACTCTGCTCTGTAACTTGGCCAAAGGAGACACCAGATAAAAGTGGCTGTTAGGAGGTATGTTCCCCAGGACCCCTGGGCACGAACCCTAGCCAGCATTCCCACACTGCTGGGATAATCCCTTTGGGACCTTCCCCATTTGGGACAGGCAGTGCTTCAACCATTTATTATAGGCAAGCTGAACCTTAGCTTAAGGTCACCTAGAATTGAAAAGGAGGCAGTGACTTGAATAACTAATCCTTCAATGCAAAGACGTAGACATATACTCACAAGAAACAAAAGCAAATGGGAAACCATCACCTCGCCAAAAAGACAAAGCAAAAATCCAGTGACTGACCCTAACAAGACGGCAATTTGTGAGCTCCCCAACCAAGAATTCAAAACAGCAGTTTTAAGGAAACTCAGCGATCTCCAAGATAACACAGAAAAACAATTCAGAAATTTATCAGGGAAATCTAACAAAGACACTGAAATGATTTTTTAAAACTGAAACAGAAATCTTGGAACTGAGAAATACATTTGCTGAGCTGAAAAACTCTAGAGGCTCTCAACAGCAAAATGAACCAAGCAGAGGAAAGAATCAGTGAGCTTGAAGACTGGCATTTGAAAATACATAGAGAAGAAAAAAGAAAAAGAAGAACAAGGAACAAAGACCACCTACAAGATATAGAAAAAAACTTCAAAAGACCAAATCTAAGAATTATTAGTGTTTAAGAGGAAACTGAGGAACAGCAAAAGGTAGAAAGCTTGTTCAAAGAAATAATGATAAAAAGCTTCCCTAAACTTGAGAAAGATATAAATGTGCAGGTAGAGGAAAGTCTTAGAACACCGAACAGATTCAACCCAAATAAAACTACCCCAAGGCATTTAATGGTCAAATTCCCAAAGGCTAAAGACAAAGTGAAGATCCTAAAAGCAGTGAGAGATAAGAAGCAAATAATATATTAAAAAGCTCCAGTTCATCTGGCCACAGACCTCTCAACAGAAACCACAGGGGCCAGGAGGGAATAGAAAAACATTTTCAAAGTGCTAAAAGAAAAATAAAAACCTGTCACTCAATAATATTGTATTCTCAAAATTGTCATTCACATTTGAAGGAGTGATAAAATCTTTTAGAGAAAAACAAAAGCTGAGAGAATTCACCAACACCAGTTCTGTTGTGCAAGAAAAGCTAACGGTAGTTCTTCAATCTGAAAGAAAAAAAACACTAACGTGCAAAGGAAAACTATTCAAGGTATAACCTCCACTGGCAAATTAAATACGCAGACAAACCCGGAATACTCTATGACTGTACTTGTGGTGTGCAGTCCACTTATAACTCTAGAATGAAGCCTAAAAGATAAATCTAACAAAAACAACAATAGGTAGAGCAACCTGTTAAGAGACAGGCAATATTAAAATAAATTGAGGCAACTAAAAGTCAAAATGTGTGCTGGGGGTGGTGGAGTTAAAGTGTGGAATTTTCTGTGGGTTTTTTTTTTTTTTTTTTGGCCTTTGTTTCTAGTCTTTTATTTGTGATCTAGGATAAGTTGTTATCTCTTTAAAATAACTTTTATATCTATAAAATGTTTTTTGTAAGCCTCAAGGTAACCACAGCATAAAAACCTATAGTAGCTTCACTAAAAATAAAAAGCAACAATTTAAAATATACTACTAGAGATAATCACTTAACCACAAAGCGAGAGAGGAGTCTCAAAACACAGAAAACAAGCAACAAAATGACAGTAGTAAGTCCTTACTTATCAATACTAACACTGAATGTAAATTGTCTCAATTCTCTAATTAAAAGGCATAGAGTGGCTGGGGATGGTGGCTCATGCCTATAATCCCAGTACTTTGGGAGGCTGAGGTGGGCAGATCACTTGAGCTCAGGAGTTCGAGACCAGCCTGGGCAACATGGCAAAACATGTCTCCACAAAAAAAATATAAAAATTAGCTGGGCACGGTGGCACACGCCTGTAGTCCCAGCTACTTGGGAGGCTGAGATTGGAGAATCGCCTGAGCCCAGGAGGTCAAGGCTGCAGTGAGCCATGGTCGTGCCACTGCACTCCAGCCTGGGCAACAGAGTAAGACTCTATCTCAAAAAAATAATAATAAAGAAGGCATAGAGGAGCTGAATTGATAAATAAGTAATATCTAACTACATGCTGCCTTCAAGTTGCCCACTTCGCCTATAAAAATACACGTAGACCGAAAGTGATAGGGTTGAGAAAGCTATTCCATGCAACTGGAAACCAAAAACAAGCATGACTAACTATACTTATATCAGATAAAATAGACTACAAATCAAAGACTATAAAAAAGATAAGGATGGTCACTATATAATGATAAAGGGGTCAATTCAGGAAGAGGATATAAAAATTATAAACATCTATGCACCTAACACCAGAGCTCCCAAAAATATAAAGTAAACATTAATAGGGAGAGAGAGACTGCAGTACCATTATAGTGCGGGCTTTAACACCTCATTCACAGTAATAGACAGATCATCCAGACAGAAAATCAACAAGGAAACAGTGGGGTTAAATTACACACTATATCTAATAGGCCTAACTGGCATTTACAGAAGATTTTACCCCACTGCTGCAGAATTCATAGTCTTTTCATCAGCACATGGAATATTTTTCAGAATAGACCATATCTTAGGTCTGCATAAATTCAAAAAAATAGAAATCATGTCAAGTATCTTCTCTGACCGCAATGGAATAAAACTAGAGATCAATAACAAGAGCAACCTTGGAAAACATACAAACATGAAAATTAAACAACATGCTCCTGAACAACCAATGGGTCAATGAAGAAATTAAGAAAGAAACTTAAAAATGAATTGAAACAGAGGAAAATGGAAATACAACATACCAGAATCTATGTGATACAACAAAAGCAGTACTAACAAGGAAGTTAATAGCAATAAATCCCTAGATCAGAAAAGTAGACTTTACATAAAGAACCTAATGATGTACCTCAAGGAATTAGACAAGCATGAACAAGCCAAATCCAAAATTAGTAAAAGGAAAGATATAATAAAAATCAGAGCAGAAATAAATGAAATTGAGACAAAAAAATTAATGAAATGAAAAGTTGGCTTTTTGAAAAGATAAAATCAACAAAACTTTAGCTAGACTAATTTAAAAAAGAGCAAGAGAAAGAAAGAGACTCAAATAAATAAAATCAGAAATGAAAAATGGGACATAGAAACTGAGACCTCAGAAATACAAAGAATCATTAGAGACTAGTATGAACAACTGTATGCCAACAAATTGGAAACCTAGAAGAAACAGACAAACTCCAGAACACACAGAGCCTACCAAGATTGAACCATGAAGAAATAGAAAACCTCAACAAACCAATAATCCAAGCCATAATAAAATGTCTCTTATCAAAGAAAAGCCTAGGAGTTGATGACTTCACTGCTGAATTCTACCAACCATTGATTTATTTATTTTTTGAGATAGGGTCTCACTTTGTCAGCCAGTCACTTTGTCAGGTCTCACTTTGTCAGTACAGTGGATGGTTCACTGCAGCCTCAGCCTCCTGGGCTCAAGTGATCTTTCTGCCTTGGCTACCTGAATAGCTGCAACTACAGGCATGCGCCACAACACCCAGCCAATTTTTGGATTTTTTTGTAGAGACAAGGTCTCACTATGTTGCCCAGGATGATCTTGAACTCTTGAGCTTAAGTGATCCTCCCACCCTGGCCTCCCAAAATGCTGGGATTACAGGCATGAGCCACAGTGCCTGGCCTCTATCAAACATTTAAAGAACTAATACCAATACCAACCCTACTCAAATTATTCTAGAAAATTGAAGAGGACATTCTTCCAAATTCATTCCATGAGGCCAGCATTACTCTGATACCAACACCAGAGAAGAAAATACCACAAAAGAAGAAAACTACAGGTCATATTTCTGATGGACATAGATGCAAAAATCCTCAACAAAATACTAGCAAACTGAATTCAGCAATACATTAAAAAGATCATTCACCATGATCAAGTGGGATTCATCCCAGGGATGCAAGGATGTTTCAACATATGCAAATCAATACCTGTGATATATCACATTAATGGAATTAAGAATAAAAACCATATGATTATTTCAATAGATGCCAAAAAACATTTTTATAAAATTCAACATCCCCTTATGATAAAAAGGCTCCTCAAAAATGGGTATAGAAGGAACATACCTCAAAATAATAAAGCCCATCTATGACAAACCCATGGCTAACATCATAGTGAATAGGGAAAAATGGAAGGCCTTTCCTCTAAAGACTGGAACCACACAAGGATGTCCACTTTCAACACTGTTATTCAACGTAATATTGGAAAGTCCTGGCCAGAGTAATTTGGCAAAAGAAAGAAACAAAAGGCATCTAAACTGGAAAGGAAGAAGTCAAATGAGCCTTGTTTGCACATGACAAATCTTATACCTAGAGAAACCTAAAGACTCCACCACAAAACTGTTAGAACTGATAAATTCAATAAAGGTGCAGGACACAAAATCAACATACAAAAATCAATAGTATTTATATATGCCACCAGTGAACAATTTGTAAAAAATCAAGACACCTAGGAATCAATCTAACCAAAGAAGTGAAAGATCTATACAAGGAAAACAATAAAATTCTGATGAAAGACATTGAACAGGACACAATAAAATTGAAAGATACTCCATGCTCATGGATTGAAATAATTAATATTGTTAAAATTACAATACTACCCAAATTAATTTACAGATTCAATGCAATCCCTATCAAAATACCAGTGACATTCTTCACAGAAAGAGAGAAAACAATCCTAAAATTTATATGGAACCATGAAATACTTCAAATAGCCAAAGCAATCCTGAACAAAAAGAATAAAGCTGGAGGCATCACGCTACCTAACTTCAAAATTTACCACAAAGCTATAGTAACCAAAGCAGCATGATTTTATGCCAGTATGCCAGCATATTGGCATAAAAACAGACACACATAGACCAATGGAACAGAATAGAGAACCCAGATATAAATCCACGCATTTACAACCAACTCATCTTTGACGAAGGCATCAAGAACATACAATAGGGAAAGGACAGTCTTTCCAATAAATGGTGCTGGGGAAACTGGATAACTATATGCAGAAGAATGAAACTAGACCCTTATCTCTCAACATATACAAAAATCAAATCAAAATGGATTATTGACTTGAATCTAAGACCTGAAACTGTGAAACTACTAGAAGAAAACACAGGGCAAATACTCAAGGGCATTGGTCTGGGCAAAGATTTCTTGTGTAAGACCTCAAAAGTATAGGCCATCAAAGCAAAAATAGACAATTGGGATTACATCCAGCTAAAGAGCTCCTGCACAGCAAAGGAAACAACTAACAAAGTGAATAGACAACCCACAAAATGAGAGAAAATATTTGTAAACATCACTAAATCATCAGAGAAATGCAAATAAAAAACACAATGTGATCGTATCTGTCACCTCAGTTAAAATAGCTTGTATCAAAAGGACAGGCAGTAACAGAGGCCTACAAGGACGTGGAGAAAGGGGAACCCTCATCCACTATTGCTGGGAGTATAAGTTAGTACCACCACTATGAAGAATAGTATGGAGGCTGCTCAACACACTAAAGATAGAACTACCATATGATCCAGCAATGCCACTCCTGGGTATATATGTGAAAGAAAGGAAATCAATATATCAAAGAGATAGCTGCACGCCCGTGTTTATTGCAGCACTATTCACAATAGCCAAAATATGAAATGAATCTAAGTGCCCATCAATGGATGAATGGATAAAGAAAATGTGATATATATATACACAGTGGAGTATTATTAAGCTATAAAAAAAGAATGAAATCCTGCCCTTTGCAGCAACATGGATAGAAATGGAGGCCATTATGCTGTGTGAAATAAGCCAAGCACAGAGAGACAAATATCGTATGTTCTCACTCATATGTGGGAGCTAAAAAAAGTGAATCTCGTGAAGATAGACAGTAGATTGGTGGTTACCAGAGGCAGCGAAGGGGAGGGGAATAAAGGCAAAACAAAGAATATCAATGTATTTATTGCTACTGAACTGCATTTAAAAATGGTAAATATGGTAAATTATACATGTATAGTGTACCTCAATAAAATTTTTAAAAATACAGGAACCCAGTTTAATTTGAATTTCAGATAAACCATGAATTTTTTTTAGAATAAGTATATTCCATGCACTATTTGGCATATAATTATATTAAACATGTTTTTACTGTTTACTTGAAATTCAAATTTAACTGGGTGTTCTATATTTTATCTGACAACCCTATTAAGAGTTTTGAATTTCAATAATTCATATCACAGCCTTAGTTTAGGATTCTAAAATATGAAACAAAAGCCACAATTTCAAAACTGAAAACTTGCAACGTAAACTATATAAGCTCAATTTGTTACAGCTGCAATTCACTCAGACCCACATGTCCCAAGATAAGACCACAGACAAACCATTTTAACAGTTAACTCCACAGGGACCCATGTGTCCCAGCAAGACCACTTACCTTTCCACAAGTGTCTTAGCTCAGGCTGCCATCACGAAATACCACAGAGTGGGTGGCTTAAACAACAGAAATTTATTTTCTCACAGTTCTGGAGAATAGAAGTCCAAGATCAAGTGCTAGCATGGTCTGTTTCTGGTGAGGGCTCTCTTTCTGGCTTGTAGAAGGTGGCCTTCTTTTTTTCTTTTTCTTTTTCTTTCTCTCTCTCTCTTTTTTTTTTAAGACAGAGTCTTGCTCTGTCGCCCAGTCTGGAGTGCAATGGCGTGATCTCAGCTCACTGTAACCTCTGCCTCACAGGTTCAAATGATTCTCCTGCCTCAGCCTCCCAAGTAGCTGGGATTATAGGCACCCACCAACACGCCCAGCTACTTTTTGTATTTTTAGTAGAGATGGGGTTTCACCATGTTGGCCAGGCTGGTCTTGAACTCCTGACCTCGTAATCCACCCACCTCAGCCTCCCAAAGTGCTAGGATTACAGGCATGAGCCACTGCACCTGGCCAATGGTGGCCTTCTTAATGTGTCCTCACATGGTGGGAGTTGGGAAGCAGGGATTGGGAACAGAGGGAGCAGGAGGGGAAGGGGAGAGAGAGATGGAGGAGGGAGAGAGAAAGCTCTCTGGTGCCTCTTCTTATAAGGGCACTAATCTCATTTATGAGGGCCCCACCCTCATAACCTCATCTAACCTTAATTATCTCCCAAAGGCCTGATCTCCAAATACCATCACATTGGGGCGTAGGTCTTCAACATATGAATTTGGAGGGAAAAACAATTCAGTCAATAACACAGAAACTTACCTAGTTTATAAATTGGATCAATCCCTGACAAAACGTCACTGATCAACTTCCACTCTGAAAATACTCCATGACTAACCAGCATCCTAACCTCCCCACTTTGAGACACTATGGGACTCTATCAAGATGATGTTGATCCTCGAGTTTAATAAGAGCCAATGTGGGTTCTGTGACATCATCATCTCTCTGCTTCTGATTGGTCAAGTATCCTCTCTCTCTCCCCACTTTTCTCCCTCTAATCCAGTGGTTCTCAAACATTAGCTGTACCTGAGGCCCTTGGGGAGCTTCTTAAACCTCAGGCTGCTGGGCCCACTCCCGGAGTTCCTGATTCAGTAAGTCTGGGAGGGGGCCTGGGAATTTGCATTTCTAACAAGTTCCCTGATGCTTTTGCTGATGCTGGTCCAGGGACCATGCTTTAAGAACTTCTGCCTTAGAGATCCTCTTGAATTGTCTGGGGTCGGGGTTAGGGACGGTGGCTGAGCATTGGCATTTTATAAAGTTCCCCACGTGATTCTGACATGGAGACAGCATTGAAAACACTGTTCTAATGCAGTTTCCACACTGTAGTCAGTGTGCTTTTTGGAAAGCACAGATCCGATAAAGGAACTCATCAGCTTAAAACAGTGAATGGCATCTCACTGCCCTCAGTAATAGACACAGCCCCTTAACAAGGCTTATGGGGCCCTGTATGATGGGTTTCCATTTACTTCACTTTCACCTCCAGCCCCTTCTTGAGCTACCTCACCACCTCATGCCCCACAGTCCAGGATTACTGGGGAAACCACAGTTCCCTGAAGATGATCTTGATCCTTTTCTCCATAAGGCTTTGCCCATTCTGCATCTTTACTGGGGAAGCTGTCACCACCGACACACCTCTCTACCTGGCTAACCCTTTCTTGCTCTTCAGAGCCTTACTACTAACAGGGTGATCCATGGACCAGCTGCAACAGCCTCTTCGGGAGCTTGTTAGAAAGGCAGAATCGGCCAGGTGCGGTGGCTCACACCTGTAATCCCAGCACCTTGGGAGGCCAAGGTGGGAGGATCGCTTCAGCCCAGGAGCCTGAGACCAGCCTGGCAACACAGCAAAACCTTGTCTCTATAAAAAATACAAAAACTTAGCTGGGCATGGTGATCCGCATCTGTAGTCCCAACTACTCGGGAGGCTAAGGTGGGAGGAGGTCAAGGCTGCAGTGAGTGGTGATCGCAGGCTGGGAGACAGAGCAAGACTCTGTCTCAAAAAAAAAAAAAAAAAGCAGAACTTTAGGCCTCACTCCAGACCTCCTGAATCAGAACCTACATTTTAACAAGATCCTAGAATGATTCACATTTACAGTAAAATTTGAGAAACTGTTTTCGGGCTTCTGTAGATGTACTTTCTCTGGACTTACGCGTCTGAGCCCCAGAAACTCAGCCGAGTGCCTCTCCTATGTGCTGCCACCGCAACCTTCCCTAGCACTTAACACATTGCACCTGACCAGAGCCAAGTGGCCTGCAAGCTCCGCAGGGACAGGAACTGTATCTTTACGCATGCTTGCATTCTCCACTCCAGCACAGTACCTGACACATAGCAGATGCTCAAAAATAGTTATCAATTAAATACATGTTTTTAGAAACAAGTAGAGAAAGTATTAGCTTTCCGGTTAGAAAATTTTGGACTTAAGTTCTTGATTTACCACTTACTAGCTGTAGGACCTTGAACAAGTCACCCTCCTCCCAGAAGTTGTTACTCATTGTTAAATTGAGAATATTATCAAGTACCCTACAGAGGTGTTGTCAGGATTAGTGACATAATAGATGTAAACCCAGAATGCTATGTCTGCCAGGTCAGAATTGCACGATAAAGAAGAGTGCCCTCCGCCTTAGTTCTCCCAAGCGGCAAGTCTTTACTGAGTTTAGTAGAATACTACTTGTTGAAATAGAAAGGGTGGCCACACTTGAACTTAATGCCATTTTTCTTTCTATTTTCCCCCAACTGCATAAAAGCAAAACCAAATAAACAAACCTGAGAATTGAACTGGAATCAATGCTTTTCTCGGCATTGTGTCAGAAGAACAAAACTTAAACTGGGGCCAGCAGACCCTTAAGCTCCTTAAGCCAGGCTCTGGGACCCTTGGGATTAAATTTTTAAAATCCTCTCTCCAGTTCTAAACAAAAGTAAACAAGGGAACCTTTTATAATGTGGTTCAAGGTGAGGCAGTAAACAAATGACCTTTAAGCAGAATAATCAGCTTAATATGTACTAGCTGGAGGTTAACATTTGCATTGAGAAAGGTCTTATGGTCTTATTGATAATTCACTCGGAGGTCACTCTAACATCCTCTACCCTCATTCTCCAACCACATGATTCTCTAAACCCCTCAATCTCCCGCTCCCACACATAGTCTACCAGTTGACCAAATAATGAGAGAAGAATGGAATTGTCAAACCAGAATCAAAGGGGTAAAAGACAGAAGGACTTTGAAAGAGGAGAAAGAGAAGGCAAGCGGTGGGAAACTGTCCATCCACTGCAGACTCAAGTGTATGTTGGCTCAAAAAGTTGAGGACTAAGGCCAGCCTAGGTCTCAGCCACCCTGCAGGCTTTGTGTGGGTCTGAAAACTTGACCTGATTATATGCTCCTAAGTGTTCTAGACTGGCTAAACCAAGACTGTTGAATTATAAATCATGCCACCCCTGCACCCGCTTCCGTGATCACAAAAAAAACATAATGCTAGCGTTATTAGATAAGCCGCAAAGGTCATCAAGGTGTTTCTTTGAACTGCCACACCCAAACGAAATACTTGCTCTGATCTTTGCATAAACAACATTTGGATGAACAAACATTTCATACTTTCGTTATGTTTATCTTTGTAAGGGACAAAATCTGTCACCTGCTGCATACTTCTGAAAAAATTATAGGAACAAGTTGACATACTTTCTCAATTATACAGAATTCTCTGCAAAAATGAAATTATTAAAATTAATTGTGAGAAACACAGGAAACTGCTTATGGAGGGATCACAGTAAGAGACTGACAGAAGGGAGTAATGAGGCTTCTCCTCCATTTCCTTCTTGGAAACTTTTTCTGCACAGAGAAAATGTGGTTGAAAACCTATTGTGCCTTGGATTGAGTTAAAGGTCACACCCAAGGATTTATACAGATTTAGTTCTCATCTGGTCCCTTGAAGGGGGGAAAAGTTAAAATATCCAATACAAATCCATTGAGTGATGCACTGATAACACCAATTATGTCCCACTCCCCTCTTGGTACATTGGACTTCTATTTCTCTGGCTGGGTATTTCCATTGTCCTATAATACAATGACAGGCTCTTACAAGGCCAGTTTTCCCCCATTAGAGAACCAAAAGGAGGGGCTGAGCCCATTTCTTGGGCTTTAATGCCTGGCTACGTGGGTCCGAATCTCTAGCTAAGCCCTTCCTGTAGGACTGTTGAAAGACTCGAGCAGGCAGCCCTGCCTTTGCTGCCTCCCTTCATTCGTTCTCACCTCCATCCATTCATCGGCCAGTTTTAGCTCATGACCCCTACTCCAATCATAATTGTCTCCTCTTAAGTCAATCTTATCAAATGCTGTGCGGAATGGATTCTGTGGGCCACATTCAGGAACACAGAGTTCTTCCCAGCTCAGCTCTGCTCCTCTCAGGGTAGAGGTCTGTGGAGCCTCTGGCTGCCTGTCCTGTTCTGAGGGTCACACCTGGTCACCAAAACATATTCTCCTCAAGGCTGTTGACCTTCCTTTCTTGATTCAGGCCTTGCAATCCCTACCTTGGGAAGGAGGCAGGCACCCTATTTCTCTGGCCCTCCTCCCTCCCTGCCCCCACCCCCCACCAACTAGGCTGGGCTGCCTGACAAGCACCATGTGACCTCGCCTGTTTCTTCTGATGCCCAGTTTCCACTGGACCTCTGTGTCCTCATTACAAATGAATTTTATCAACTAGCTGAGGCTTCTTCTCACCTAGTTTGTTAAAATCCAACACTAGTAAGGCTAGGACCATTCCTTCAGTGCAAACAGTGTGCTGAAGATGAGTGTAAGTTAACATTGATTTTACCCTCAGCGGCTCCTGGGAAGCCATACTTCAGGACTGGTAAATCAGCACGAGGAGGATCACAACCCAAAGTGCTCACAGAGGGAGCAGTGCTGCCAATCTTTATCTAAACCAGGAACAGAGAATAGATGTTGAAAAGAATGCTCACTGGTGAAGGACTGTTCCTAGATTTTTTCTAAGTATTCTTATAGCTATTTAGAAATTGACTTTCAAGAATATTTGCCTGTCTCATAAAATTAAATAACAATTCTATATTAAGGTAAAATGGGCTAAATCTTTTTAGGTGGTGTTTTCTTGGTCTTTTTGTATGATTGGCTTCATACAGTGAGTACTGCAAAGTTATGTCCATGAACGAGGCTATCCTCACAGGGAAAGAGTTGCTGCCCTAAATAATTTCTTGGGAGGAGTGAAAGAGAAATTTTAGAAGCTTTAGGAGACACTGATTTATTCCAAAGAATTCTAGATTTTGATAAACTTTACAAATTGCCAAGCCGAGGCTCTCATTCATCTTTTCTCATGTAAATAATAGAAAGATACAAATATATCTGTCATTTATTTTACTACTACAGATAGTTATTATTTACTATTTGTTCTCTGTCCAAAATTTCAGATTACAGTTAATTCTCATTATACCTGGTAGTTCTGTTCTGTAGAGTCTCTGTGAACACTGAATTAGCAAATGCAAAACTGTTGCTCCCAGGGGAAGTACAGGGTTAGGCTCTTTCAAGCCTCTAGTCACATTTTTTTTTCTAACATTATCTTTTGGAGGCTCAGCCTGACATTGTGGGGAGAGGGGGACCCTGGGCTGGATAGCACTCCCCATTGGGGTTATAACGGTCATCCATTTCTGTCTCTTCTCTTTCCCCCAACCTCCCCCCTGCTGGTCCCCTCTCTAGTCACATTTTTATCAAATGATCAATATGTAGCCTCGTTTTATATGTGTTTCTGTTTAAAGACACTGTGCTCAATATTTACTGTTGATGCATTAACATCCAGTTCACAGCCAACAACAAGGTTTATCTAACACGTGTATTTTCTCCACAAAGCACCTCACAGCCTTCCTGAGCTTAGGAACGCTGGACAGTGCCTCAGCATTGCACTTGGAGTCCACTTTAAATGAATATGTGCATTGTGTGACTCAAGCTTTTTGCCACTCTGCACATGTCTGCCTCAACAGCATGAGGCACATTTATTTGGGGGTTGCAAACAAACTGTACGTAGTAGGTGGATTAGCAAATATGCAATCTGTGAATAATGAGGATCAGTGAGGAATAATGAGAACCGTGCATATTCCTGGTTCCATGGCTTCTCCTGTCCCAACTACCCTCCTTCTTGCCTTCTCTTCTAGAATCCTCCTGGGCCTGTCTTCCTGAAGTGAAATCCATAATAGGAGCCTTTTATTACCACTGTTCAAGTCACCTTATATATCCCTCTCTGCAGGGAATATCTGTGAACTGGCAGGAGTGGGATGCAATAAATTCAGTCATAGTTAAGAGATCATAGCTGATAGGACACTGTTCCAAGGATATTTACAATTTTGTAAGGACCTTTTCTTTAATCATACTGAGGAATGAAGCTTTATCAGAAGGATTGCGGAGTCATAGGGTGGATACTAGGGAAAGTGGGAGTAAAGAAGGCTCACTTCTTTTTTGTATAAATTAAGTTTGTATAAATTTTGTATCAATTGTACAAGTGCAACTTTGTTACAGGCATAGATTGTGTAATGGTCAAGTTGGGGCTTTTAGGGTATCCATTAACGGAATAACATACATTGTACCCATTAAGTAATTTCTCATCGTCCACTCCCCTCCCACTCCTTCACCCTCCTGAGTCTCCATGGTCTATCTTTCCACATTCTACCACATTTTAAATCCAATCATCCACTGATGGACACTTAGGTTTATTCTATATTTTTGCTGTTGTGAATAGTGCTGCAATAAACATATGAGTCCAGGTATCTTTTTGTTCTCGTTGAAACAGAGTCTTGTTCCATTTCCCAGGCTGGAGTGCAGTGGCATAATCATGGCTTACTGCAGCCTTGACCTCTTGGGCTTAAGCAATCTTCCCACCTCAGTCTCCCAAGTAACTGAGACTATAGGTGTGCACCACCACACTCAGCTAATGTTTTATTTTTTGTAGAATAGGATCTGACTATGTTCCTCAGACTGGTCTTAAACTGCTGTGCTCAAGCAGTCCTCCCACCTCAGATTCCCAAAGTGCTGGGATTACAGATAAGAGCCACTATGCCTAGCCAGGTATCTTTTTGATATATTTACTTTCCTTTGGGGAGATGCCCAGTAGTGGGATTGCTGGATTGTATGGTGGTTCTCTTTTCAGAAGAAGGTTCATTTCTGATATCACATCACTAAGGGACCACCTACTATGGGCATCGTAGCTTTCTTCCTAGGCCCATGGTTGTAAAAATGTCCCATGAAGTCTATGGTTCTGGAGTTCTGTTTGATGCCAACAATCTCAGAGCATTAGAGCCCATGGCCTGCTCCTCCTGGGGTCTCACTGAGCATTTCAAGTTGCTATCCCAATGGCCAAAGGGAGACATCTGTAGATTGGCCCCCAGTTTTTAAGCAGGTAAAATTCTGGAGTTGAGCATCCATCATATCATACAAGGTCCCTGGCCATGATAGTACCTTCTCCAGGAATTGGCTAGGTGGGAAGACATGTTCCGTGTCAGCCCTCCAAATGTGGTCAAGAGTCTTCCTTGTGGCTTGGGTACACTCCCTGTTGTTCAAAGGTTTATCATTATGAAAAGACCATTCTAACCAGAGCCTACTGAGATAAAAGCTGCTGCCCCATCCTGTGCCGGGGCATGTGAGTGCTATTTCAGTGGCTGTGTCCACAGCTCTGAAAATCTATACCTTGGATGAAAGCCCAACTAGAGAATGGAACATTCTCTTATATATATTCTCTGAAAAACTGTCACATATGCTCAGACATGAAAGAACAGAAAGGCTGACCCTGGCAGCTCCCCACGCTGCAGAATTTCAAAAATGCCTGAGGCCTCACTAAAATGAACTGTCTGAACAAAAGGAAGTAGAAAGAGTGAAAGGAGACAGAATGTTGGCCGATATGGTTGCCTCTCCTCCCTCTATCCCCAGCCTCCATCCCTCCAGATGTTTTTGCTGAGCTTCTGTCAGCCTTCTTGGCTTACCCTTTAGTCCCTGCCCCAGGGAGCTGAATTCAAGTAAGTACAGCAAATGTGGCACAAATCAAGAAAAAAGCCTGCCTTTTCCTGTTAACTAGCATTAGTTTTAGTTTATTTTTAAAGCAACACATTGTTTTCCTAATTATAAGACTTGCCAAACTTATTGCAAAGAATGAAAAGAAAACTGCAGGTAAGCAACAAGAGCAAGTGTCAAAAATCAAGTATAATCTCATCATCCAGATATAACCATTGTTGACATTTTTGTTTCTTTTAGACTTTCTCTATGAATCTCTTTTTTGTGGGGGAGGGGGACAGGGTCTCACTCTGTCACCCAGGCTGGAGTGTAGTGGCGCAATCATGGCCCATTACAGCCTCAACCTCCCTGGCTCAAGTGATCCTCCCACCTCAGCTTCCCGAGTAGCTGGGACCACAGTCATGCACCACCATGTCCAGCTTATTTTTAAATTTTTTGTAGAGACAGGCCACACTATATTGCCCAGGCTGCTCTCAAACTCCTGGGCTCAAGTGATTTTCCCATTTCATCCTCCCACAGTACTGAGATTACAGGTGTGAGCCACCATGCCTGGCCCTCTCTGTGAATCAATATGAATAAATGTTTCCAATGGGATTACATAATGAGTATTGTTTTGTATACTGCTTTTTCCCCTCACTTGGCAATATATTCCAATCATATCTTCAGAGCACCTTTTTGTTTTAAAAGGACACCTCTGCATCCAATTATTTATAGGATGATAATGGGTGATAGGGTTGGAGTTTTAAAATGTTTCCATGTGAACGTTTTACAATTCTCTTTACCTGCCTTTTCTGTGGTATTAAACACATTGCTTAATTCCTATTTTCTATATTTTGGATTGGCAAATTTCTTTTTTTATTATTATACTTTAAGTTCTGGGATACATGTGCAGAACATGCAGGTTTGTTACATAGGCATACACGTGCCATGGTGGTTTGCTGCAGCCATCAACCCGTCATCTACATTAGGTATTTCTCCTAATGCTATCCTTCCCCTGGCCCTCCACCCCACAACGGGCCCCAGTGTGTGATGTTCCCCTTCCTGTGCCCATGTGTTCTCATCATTCAACTCCCACTTATGAGTGAGAACATGTGGTGTTTGGTTTTCTGCTCCTGTGTTAGTTTGCTGAGAATGATGGCTTCTAGCTTCATCTATGTCCCTGCAAAGGACATGAGCTCATCCTTTTTTATGGCTGCATAGTATTCCATGGCAGAGCACCATTTTTAATAGCTGCATGGCCTTCCATTATCATAATTCTTTTAATCAATTCCTATCGTTGAACTTTTACATTATTTCTAGGAATTAAATTGAAAATACATAGAAAGCATTTAACAGCCAGGAAGGCATGGACCCACCACTCAGGATGACCAGGCTGTCAGGCCAGAGCTGGGTTCTGGAGGCCCCAGACTGTTCCAGGCATTAACCTTGGTGTTTGAATGGCAGGGCCTAATTTCATGGGAGAATCCAGGAGGCAGGCATGTGGGGGCATTTGGGAGAAGCACTCCAAGTAGCATCTATCTATCATTCATAACAAATGATTTTTAATATTTTAACAGTCCGGTGGGCATATTGGTACAAGCTTTCTGAATATCGAAATATTTATTACTATTACAAATAGAATAGCTATGAATATCTTTATAGAGAGGTGTCTTCACAAAGATCTCTGATTATTCCTAGAGGCACATTTTCTGGGTCAAAAGATAAGATACATTTGTAGGGCTTTTAGTATAAAATCACAAATTGCTTTCAGAAGAACACAGTTTATAAGTTTACCAAGCTTATTATCTTTTTGATCAACTTTACCATTAAAACCTGCATGCTGTGGAGTAGGTTTTTTGCATCTCAGTTTCTCTTGCCCCACCAAATCTACGTATAGGTATCTATCCCCAAAAACAAAAGAACAAAGTCTTGTATGTGCAAAAAGAAGCACAAACAAGGACATTCATTGTAGCATTATATGTGGTAAGAATAACAGCCCCCCAAAATTGAAAAGAAATGACATATTCAGGAATAGGAGGAATCAATGGCTTATATACTTTAGGATAATTTATGTTGTGAAATATTATGCAATAATTAAAAAGAATGAAGAAGATGTATGAGACTAACATGGAATGTTCCATGACATATTAAGAAATAAAAAGTTTTAGGACAGAACATGTAGCATGATCACAGCAATGTTACATACAAAGAAGTACTGGAGGCCAGCCTCAGTGGCTCACACCTGCAATCCCAGCACTTCGGGAGGCCGAGGTGGGTGGATCCCAAAATCCTGAGGTTGGGAGTTTGAGACCAGCCTGGCCAACATGGCGAAACCCCATTTCTACTAAAAATACAGAATTAGCCAGGCGTGGTGGCCCATGCCTGTAATCCCAGCTACTCGGGAGGCTGAGGCAGGAGAATCACTTGAACCCGGGAGGCAGAGGTTGCGGTGAGCCGAGATCGCACCTTTGCACTCCAGCCTGGGCAACAAGAGTGAAACTCCATCTCAAAAAAAACGAAATAACAAAGAAGTATTGGATTATATAAAAGACATTATATGTATATAGATATGCATCAACACATGGATAAATGTCCTTGGGAAGAATGCACATCAATATAGTGATACCTCTGGGGTGAGAAGTGGAATTATAAGGCAAGTAAAGCGTTTCCTCATTTTTAAAGTCTGTATATTTTTATATTGTTTGAATTCTTACAATGAAAAACTGTTCTTAGTGTGTAACCTGGTCGGCAGAGGGGGGAGGAATGGGGTCTTGCTATGTTGCCCAGGCTGGAATCAAACTCCTGGGCTCAAGCGATCCTCCCACCTCAGTCTCCTGAGTAGCTGGGACTACGGGTGTGCACCACTGCACCCGACTATTGTGTGGTTTTTAACAATTATTTAAAGTATAAAATAAAAGGATTAAAATCAGTTTCTTCCTTTTTGTTTTTTCTTCCTTTTAATTTTTCCTGGTAGAAGAATCATTTTTTTCCCCAAACTTTTACGTGAAACTCCACTGATGTATAAAACCTACCATCAGTGCTGGTCTAGAGCAGGGGTTCCCAACCCCCAGGCTGTGGACTTTGTACCCTGTTAGGTACCAGTTAGGACTGGTAACCTATTAGGACCTGGGCCGCACAGCAGGAGGTGAGCAGCAGGCAGGTGAGCATTGCTACTGAGCTCAGTCTCCTGTCAGAGCCGCAGAGGCATTAGATTCTCACAGTAACACAAACCCTACTGTGAATTGTGCATGTGAGGGATCTAGGTTGTACTCCTTATGAAAATCTAATTAATGCCTGATGATCTGAGTTGGAACAGTTTCATCCCAAAACCATCCCTCCCACTGTCTGTGGAAAAATTGTCTTTCACGAAACTGGTCCCTGGTGCCAAAACGGTTGGGGACCACTGGTCTAGAGGGCAGAGGTTGGCTACCCCGATCAGTTTCTCGTCCTCTTGGTGGCAGGCCTAACAACCCTCCCCTGAACCCTGACTCCCCAGGCCGCACACATTACTAACCAGCTTTGAAGGCCTGCGATCTGTGCAATCCCAGGAGCCTCACGTGTGATTTAACGTTCTGCTGTCACTGTCTTGAAATTCTTAATAATTTTTGAACAAGAGACCCTACATTTTCATTTCTCATTGGGGCCCCCAAATTATGTAGCCAGCCATGGTAGATCAGACACTCTCTGAGTTCTGTTTGTCCCACTCACAAAGTCTCTTGCATATATTAACTCATTTAATTCTCAAAATAGTCTCACGTGGTTGGTATCATTACATAGTCTTTTGTGAGTTTTCACAGTATCAGAACCACTCATCACCCAACCCAGGAATGGGGTCTTGGAAGTCCCAGCCTCTTCCTGAGAAGCATTCTGAGCAGCTGTCAACATCTGGGTCTTGAAATCACAGCTTCAAAGGACTGAAGGTTTCAGGCAACGTGTGGGCTCAAGTCTTTGCAGCCAAAAGCATGTCAATGCTAGACACATCAGTGGCACTTTCATTGCACAGTGTTTCTTTCAAAGCATCTTCCTGATTTCTGTACAAAGTCACTGAGAGTACAGGTGAAGTCAGAATCTACATAAGACATAATAATTTAAAACTTCGTAACCAGTACTTCTGGTTAAAAATAAAATGTAATATCTTTTTGTTATCTCATCTTAGGGGAGGTAGGATGGTTGATGTTTTAGCTGGAAAAAGAATGTGAGAAAATCTGTATTCTATCTCATTCTTTTTTGTTTTGCACCAGCAGAAAGATTAAAATTTTCTTCTCATTCCTCACATATTTGCAGCTTCCTCAATGTCTCCATTTTTCTCATCTGCTGTCAGCTGTATTGTTAAACGTCTGAGAAAAGGTTTTGTATGCAGAAAAGGCTAATTGTATCCGCTTGTGCTTAAATTAATATGCAGTTATTTAAATTACAAATTTAAAAACCTAGTTTTTAATCTAAATTTAACTTAAGCGCATTAGTATTCTATTTATAAATTAATTTTTATTAAAAAACATTACTTTCACACATTCTTTGATTAATGAGTGTTCAATTAATGAATAAATTAAACAGATTAAATTCCTCAAACAATTAACCTCATTTACCAACTAGTTAATTAAACTTCCTGAAAGAGTTTAAATTAAATTTTTACATTTTATATATTTTCCTCTTAAACATTTCAAAGGCCCGAAGGGACTGATAAGCATAAGTAAAAGTTTTCTAAGCACTTATGCAATTCTTATAAATTGAATAAGTCAACTTATAAATAGGGTAAATAAAGGTTTTTTAAAAGTTTAAATAATGTCTACAAACAATTAAATTTAATATTATCTACACTAAATTTTTGTGAGTGATAGAAACCCCTAATTAACATGGCTTAAAGATAGAGTTTTATTCTTCTATATAAAAATTCCCGGCCTGGCACAGTGGCTCACGCCTCTAATCCCAGCACTTTGGGAGGCCAACGTGGGCGGATCACCTGAGGTCAGGAGTTCGAGACCAGCCTGGCCAGCATGGTGAAACCCCCATCTCTACTAAAAATACAAAAATTAGCCGGGCATGGTGGCAGGCGCCTGTAGTACCAGTTACTCTGGAGGCTGAGGCAGGAGAATCGCTTGAACCCGGGAGGCGGAGGTTGCAGTGAGCTGAGATTGTGCCATTGCACTCCAGCCTGGGTGACAGAGCGAGAACTCTATCTCGAAAAAAAAAAAAAAAAAGACCAGGCGCGGTGGCTCACGCCTGTAATCCCAGCACTTTGGAAGGCCGAGGCGGGCAGATCACGATGTCAGAAGATCGAGACCATCCTGGCTAACACGGTGAAACCCCGTCTCTACTAAAAATACAAAAAATTAGCTGGGTGGGGTGGCAGGTGCCTGTAGTCCCAGCTACTCGGGAGGCTGAGGCAGGAGAATGGCATGAACCCGGGAAGTGGAGCTTGAAGTGAGCCAAGATCGCGCCACTGCACTCCAGCCTGGGCAACAGAGCAAGACTCCATCTCAAAAAAAAAAAAAAAAAAAAAATCCTGATTTGAATGGTAGACTGGATAAAGAAAATGTGGTGTATATGTACCACAGACTACTACATAGCCATAACAAAGAACGAGATCATTCATTTGCAGCAACTTGGATGGAGCTGAAAGAGTTGGAGCTGGAGGCCATTATCCTATGCAAACTAACACAGAAACAGAAAACCAAATGCCACATGTTCTCACTTACAAGTGGGAGCTAAACATCAAGTACATATGGGTACAAACAGGGGAACAACAGACTGAGAACTACTTCAGGGTGCAGGATGGGAAGAAGGTGGGGATCAAAAACTACCTATCAGGTACTATGCTTATTACCTGGGTGACAAAATAACCTGTACACACAACCTCTGTGACACACAATTTACCTATATAACAAATCTGCACATGTACCCCGGAACCAAAAATAAAAGTTAAAATAAATAAATAAATATTCATGATTTGGACAGGGACCGTGATTCTTTCAGCTGTCAGCTCTCCTATCCCAATGGGGTATCATTTAGGGTGTGGGCTTCCTCATTGCCCAAAATAGCTGCTCAAGCCATCACACTCACATCCTCACATCCCCACCAGTGAGCAGGAGAAGGGGAACACAGGGCATGCCTCTCATTTTAAGTTGCCCATACACTTCCACCTAACTCACATTGTCCAGAATTTAGTCACCTGGAGATGAAAAAGAGGCAGGAAAATGTGTTTTTTTTCTGTGCAGGCACGCATTGGGCTAAAACCTCAGGATTCTGTTATGACAGCAAAAGGGAGAATACATATTGGGAAATAAGTAGCATAAACCTATCACAAGTTCTCATCTGCCTTGAAATTAAATACCACAAATCTAAAATTAATTTTAACTATTTTTAAAATTAGATCTAAATCATATGTAACATGTATTACCAATTCCCAGCTGCGTGACTTTTCTGTGAGACCATCTTTATCTGTAAAATGGAGACAATGATAGCAACCACATGAGACTATTTTGAGAATTAAATGAGTTAATATATGCAAGGTGTTTAGGACAGTTATTGGTACTTAATAAATAAGAGTTGACCCTTGCACAATGCCGGGGTTAGGGGCACCAACCCCACACACAGTCAAAAATCCAGGTATAACTTTCGACTCCCCAAAACTTAACTACTAATAGCCACCTGTAGACCAGAAGCCTTATCAATTACATAATCAGTAAATTAACACAGATTTTGTACGTTATTTGTATTATATACCATATTTTTACAGTAAAGTAAGCTAGTGAAAAGAAAATGTCATAAAGAAAATCATAAGGAAGAGAAAACATATTTACTATGTTGGAAGTGAATCATAAAGGTGAGTCATAAAGGTCTTCATCCTTGTGATCGTCAGGTTGAGTAGACTGAGGAGGAGAAGCCGGGGGTTGGTCTTGCTGTCTCAGGGGTGGCAGAGGCAGAAGAGGTGGAGGACGTGGAAGGGAAGGCAGGAGAGGCAGGCACACTCGGGGTAACTTTTATTTTCAAAAACCCTCATATAAGTGGACTCTCGCAGTTCAAACCCGTGTTCTTCAAGGTTTGACTGTTCTACAAAAGCCTTAGCTCTGTTATGCAAAGGAAAGGAAATGAGACTCACAGGGCTTATCTTGGAAAACCCACACCAGTGCCCAGAAACCACTGCTTCCTTTTCCAACAGCCCAGAAACCATGTCCTGACATCAATTTCAAGCCAGGTTTCAGAAAGGAAGACACGGTTTCTGTGCAAGGGCATGATATGACCAAGTCAGTCCTGGCACAGAAATCCTCACTAGCTCCCTTCTGCCAGTGTGCTTGCCTGCCTTCCTGTCTTTTTCCCTTTTCTTTCCTCCTTTCTGAAATCCAGAAACCACCCCGCATGTTCACGTGCCTGATATAAAATGGTGTAGTATTTGCATATAACCTATGCACATCCTCCTATGTATACTTTAAATCAGTTCCAGATTACTTCTAATACCTAAGACAATGTAAATGCTATGTCAATATTATATTGTATTGTTCTTAAACTTTTATTATTTTATTGTTGTATTGTTATTTTATATTGTTGAAGATATTTTTTAGCTTTTAGGTTCAGGAGTACATGTGCAGGTTTGTTACGCAGGTAAATTGCATGTCACGGGGGTTTGGTGTACAGATTATTTCATCATCGAGGTAATAGCATAGTACTCAATAGGTAGTTTTTCAATCCTCCTCCTCCTCCAGCCCTCCACCTTCAAGTAGTCCCCAGCGTCTGTTGTTCCCTCCTTTGTGTTCATGTGTACTCAATGTTTAGCTCCCACTTACAGGTAAGAGCATGCAGTATTTGGTTTTCTGTTTCTGTGTTAGTTCGCTTAGGGTAACGTTTAAAATATTTTGGATCCACAGAACCCACGGATAAGGAGAGTTGGCTGTATAGATATGACGATGAATATTTACTTATATAAATGTGTCTTCCACCATTGCCTTCTCTTCTGTTTAATTGGTTAAAACATTCATTGAATTACAATTACTTTCATACAATACGATTTGTCAGACAAACTTTCTTTTCCTCAACTTCTAGATAACTTTAAATCCCTTGCCTTGGCATTTAAGAAAGCTCCCCTTCCCTGGAAATCTTTCTTCCCTCTTCTTCATTCATCAGAACAATATTTGATTCAGGTCTCTTTTACTGTGTGAAGCTCTTGGAAAGTATTAGAAAATCCAGGCTACCCTTCTGTAGGCATTCTTTCCATAATGGTTTCTCTACAATCCTGTAGCACTTACATAAACCATTATTTGCAGTCAGCATGCTACTAACTATTGTTGTTATTTATCTTTATCTAAACTGAAGTTAAAGACTGTTTGGACATCCTTTTATCCTCTGCCTTACTTAGCGCAGAGCCTTAGATTTGTAACTGATGAACATTTGGTAATAGAGATGAGGTTGCTATTACCACCACGTAAGGGGATTTCACAATGATGTTTTTTT
The DNA here is from genome assembly GCF_000001405.40 of Homo sapiens. Taxonomy (NCBI): domain Eukaryota; kingdom Metazoa; phylum Chordata; class Mammalia; order Primates; family Hominidae; genus Homo; species Homo sapiens. Next base: position 27,462,153 of record NC_000012.12, read on the forward strand.
CCTAAATATCTATGAAGCCCTGTAGGAACTACCTGCCCTAATTTCGTTCATTCGACGTGCTAACAATTTCTATAGTTCCAGCTCTGACATCACTCTTGCTTAGAGTCTAACGGGAGAGTTTCAGCTTCCAAGAACTTTCTTTACTATCATAGGAAATGACACAGTTTCTCTCCCTCCCCCTTACTCCCTTTCTTTTTCTTTCTTTGAACTCAATTTCCTTAAAAACAGTGATTTTATCATTTTACTAACGGGCTAGAAGCCAGGGACTTCCCAGATGTACAATGAATAATATTCTCTTTCTCCCGGAGGTCAAAATCTTCGCCGCCTGAGGTTTTATGTATTTGACTCCTCCAGACAGTCATTTCTCTTTTTAATGCCTACTCTGTTCCAGGAGCTTTATGTACAATAAAGCCACTGCATACCTACAGTAAGCTGCAAGGTAGCTATTGTTTCCCCATTTTATTAATGACAGAAGTGAAGCTCGGAGGTATTCAGTAGTGTGCAGATATCTGTCTGTACTGGCACAGTTTAAAAAGAGGCACATTCAAACCAGAGTAGCCTACTTAACTACTAGTTTCACAATAGTAATTGAGAGTAAATTAAAATATTACAAACCCCTCCAGGGAAAGGTACTCATTAAAAGGTTTAGATTCCTGTGGGAATATAAATCAACACATATTTACTCCCCTCTAAGTTTACTTCCTGAAATCTCTGGGCCCTCGGCGAAGCCTTTTGCTAACACATTTAGGGCTTAGGGTTTTCTCTGGGATCCCATATCCTTCTTAAGTGTCACGTCTCAGGACTCATTGAGCAGGGGGTGGCCTGGTGGCTGGCAGGTGGGACAAGCTGGGACTACACCATCCCTCCTGCTGGAGTGGAGCAGATGTTGGGGTTAGAGCCAGCTGCCGGCCTGGGACGAAGTCTGTTTCTGCAGCACCAAGAGGTTACATCACTGGATGAGAAGAGGTGGCTCAGGAAAGCTGTCAAGGTCAAGGTCACGAGATCCAAGATGCGACTATGAGGATGCCCTGTGTTTGTGGGTGCTGCTGTTTGTGATTCTTCCCGTAGGCTGGGAACTTCACTTAGGTTCTCTACCATCTTTATTTCTTTATGTCTTTCTTTATTTTTTGAGACAGAGTCTCGCTTGTGTTGCCCAGGCTGGAGTGCAGTGGCATGATCTCGGCTCACTGCAGCCTCTGCCTCCAGGGTTCAAGCAATTCTCCTGCCTCAGCTTCCAGAGTAGCTGGGATTACAGGTGCCCACCACCACGTCCGGCTAATTTTTGTGTGTTTTTAGTAGAGACGGGGTTTCACCACGTTGGCCAGGCTGGTCTCAAACTCCTGACCTCAAGTGATCTGCCCGCCTCAGCCTCCCGAAGTGCTGGGATTACAGGTGTGAGCCACCGTGCCAGGCTTCTCTATAATCTTTGAAAAGGGCTTACCAAAGCACAATCCATGAAGCACAATGCTTTGAGCACAGAAAAGGCTCTGGGGTCAAATAAGTGCGAGAAACAAATGCACTGTTCCCAACCCACCACGGAAATTGGATGACTAACAGCTCTCAAACTATGAAAATAAGCAAACAAACAAACCAACAAAACCTTGTAATCAACAAGCCATACCACAAGCAGTTAAAATATGAATATGTAATATGCAATGTGTCGTGAGAAATCCTGAGAAATCTTTATTAAAAAGAAGGAGAGAGATAAGATGGCAGCCCAAATGCAGAGTGAAGAAATCATTTTTTCCTAAAAGAGAGAAAACAGAAGCAGGTTTTAATACAGAAGCAAAGCAACAGTGCGGAGGCAGAGCCTGAGGATGTCAGAAGTATACTTATACATCTGTTTCCTCAAAGAAATTGGGAGCTCCCAGTGGAATCCCAGCAGAGGCACTCAAGCAGAGGTTTTGAAATTGCGAACAGCGTTTATAACTAATGGAATAGAATCCCCAAAAACCAACAAGGGTCTGAACGAAGGGAGCCTTAGGAAAGAGAGTGCACACATGCTTTCTCTGAGATAGAAGGGGAGTGGGAGATGATGAGGGAAAACACGGGAATATTTTGAATGGAAAAAAGGCTGCACACAGGAGTTGTTTGGCAGTGGAGAGAAGATTCTCATCAGCTGGCCTTGATCAGTGCAGTAAGGCAGAGGCGAGGTCACCGCCCACAGAGGGAGCTGGCAGCATTCAGGGGCTGGCAGAGTGGGAAGGAGCTGAGGAAGACAGAAACCAGCTGTTGGGGCCCATATATTTTGGAGTTAACCAGAGACTCAGAAGAGGCCGGGCGCAATGACTCATCTCTATAATCCTGGCTCTTTGGGAGGCTGAGGCAGGAGGATTGCTTGAGCCTAGGAGTTCGAGACCAGCCTGGGCAACATGGTGAGAACCTGTCTCTACAAAAAGCAAAAAGATACAAAAGTTAGCCGGGTGTGGTGGCGCATGCTTGCAGTCCCAGCTACTCGGGAGGCTGAGGTGGGAAGATGGCTTGAGCCCAGGAGGTCGAACCTGCAATGAGCAGTGATTGTGCCACTGAACTCCAGCCTGGGCAACAGAAAAAGACCCTGTCTCAAAAAAAAAAAAAAAAAAAAAAAGTCTGGGCGTGGTGGCTCACGCCTGTAATCCCAGCACTTTGGGAGGCCGAGACGGGTGGATCACGAGGTCGGGAGATCAAGACCATCCTGGCTAACACGGTGAAACCCCATCTCTACTAAAAACACACACACAAAAAAAATTAGCCGGGCATGGTGGCGGGTGCCTGTAGTCCCAGCTACTCAGGAGGCTGAGGCAGGAGAATGGTGTGAACCTGGGAGGCAGAGCTTGCAGTGAGCCGAGATCGTACCACTGCACTCCAGCCTGAGCAACAGAGGGAGACCCTGTCTCAAAAAAAAAAAAAAAAAAAAAAAGAAAGAAAAGAAAAGAAAAAGAGAGAGAGAGAGAAAAGAATTTGGCCGAGTACCTGTGAGAACCCAGTACGCGAAGTGTGGTCTACACAGTGCTGCTTTAGGGCATGGTCCCTGGAGCCAGACTAACTGGATTTGGGTTTAAATCCAAGATCCCTTCCTTTTCAAAAGGTGGTAAGAATTAAATTAGGTAATATATGTAAAACACTTGGGAGACTGCCTAGCGCATTAGTAACCACTCAGCAAGTAGTAGCTATTACTATTATTGTTATTTTGTGATGGAACTAGTAGTAAGAATTTTGTGATTTTTCCTAAAGAAATATGAGGTCACCCAGGACAACCAAAGGTAGGAGCATAGTCATGATATAAGGTGGGGACTGAAGGCTGGATACTAGCCCAGCAGGCATTGTGGGAGGGCTGTTGATGGAGTCTGGTTCCTAACTAGGTAGGGCATGCAGTACAGACCGTAAGAAAGGTGACACATCTGAACTTGAGCTTTTGGCTGAAGAAATGCTCAGGGTGATAACGAGACCTAAAATATTGCCATAAAAATCATGCCTACCATGTATGCATTCATTCCATTCCTTTGACAACATTTTTTGAGCACCTATTGTGCGTCAGCCACTCTACCTGAAACTCCTTCCTCACCTGGTGCCTTTAACTTCTCAACAAGCCAATTAGGTAGATCTTAGTAAACCAATTTTTCAGACAAAGAGATTAAATTTTGACCCAAACCAAAAAGCTAATAAATGACAAAACCAGGTTTCAGACACTGATGTGATTCTAAAGTTTATGTTTTTAAGAACTGTTCTGTGCTTTATCTCCATGGTGCTGAATGTTTTTGATAGGTGAAGAGGAGTGTCTTAAGAGCAGGGGCTTAGGACTTGTAAGGTCAGACTGTTAGGCCCTTTCCATGGGTGCCGAGTTCACCAAGAATAATGGGAGAGGGAAATGTGAGCCTGGCACTGAAGTCCTGGAAGAAGGTGAAGGTGTGTTGTAAAAGTGTAATAATAAGAGGAACTTCGAAGGAGACGAGGTCACAGAGGTATAAAGTAAGAGCATCCCTGGTTTGCAAGAAGATCAAATGCTTGGGCCCGGTGCAGTGGCTCACGCCTGTAATCCTAGCATTTTGGGAGGCCAAGATGGGTGGATCCCTTGAGGTCAGGAGTTCGAGACCAGCCCGGCCAACATGGTGAAACTCTGTCTCTACTAAAAATACAAAAATTAGCCAAGTGGGCCTGTAATCCCAGCTACTCAGGAGGCTGAGGCAGGAGAATCACTTGAACCCTGGAAGCGGAGGTTGCAGTGAGCTGAGATTGCACCTCTGCACCCCAGCCTGGGCGACAGAGCGAGAGTCTGACTCAAAAAATAAAATAAAATAAAAAAAGGAAGATCAAATGCTTGCTTGTTACTGGTAGAAGACATGTCCTTCATTGTCAGTCTTTGAGCCTCTGTGGGAAAGCCAGATGTTCTGTTCAAGTGAGAGACGAAAGGAGCAGATGTGGTAGAAGAAGCTGAGATTGGAAGAGCATCCCAGAACACCATATCAGAGGCCAGGAGATGGGTGGACAGAGGGCTGGGGTGGAAGAAGGACTTAGTCTCCAGAGTTAGCAAGAGAAGTGAGGAGGCTGAGAGACAGGCTAGAAGGGCAAGGTAGAAGCCAGTCAGGAGAGCACTGCACACCTAGAATCTTGTGAGAGGGGGTTACAGGCACTGCATTCCAAGTGAAATGTTATAAAGGGAAAGTCCAGCAGCACACTTACCTGCCTTGGTGTTTACCACTCAAATGGTTCCTCTCTGCCTTTGGTGCTGAGGAAAGGAGGCTCTGGCACCACTGGAACAGGAAAACTTGACTGTTGCTAGTCTATTCCATTGAACTTACAGATATTTGGGATTACCAAATTGGGAAGAGCAAAGCTATCTCCAGGTATATACTATTTCACAGCGTACCGTCTCATTATGACCTTGTCAGGAGCCTATAGTGACGTCGAATCCCTGATTATTAGTACCATGGCTTTGACAAATTTCTGAGATCCCAAATTGTCCAGGTAGCAGGAACCAAGAGGGTAATCTGGGTGGTCAGGCCTGGAGAAATCCCCTCACAATGTAAGTTAGTGATTTCATCAACTGTCTTTTAAAATAGTTGATTGTTCCTTGTAACTGAAACTGATGCTTCTCTAAATGTGTAATTTTAAAAGTTTTTATAGGATATGGGGGAAGGAGGAGGGATTCACTCCATTTGTACCAAACAATCCTAGAAAGCCAATGGGGTAAGCACACAAGAATGAAGACATGGGGTGTAGGGAGAAGAAGGAGTCTATTTTAAAAGGTCTAGAGTATGAGTAACTCCCAACTTTCATATGTGTATGAATTACCTGAAACCTTGCTAAAAGGCAGACATTGGTTCAATGAGTCTGGGTGGGATCTAGTATCTGCACTAGGTTGGACAGCTTGCATCAAGCTCCCAGGAAGCGCTGAGGCTGCTGGCCTGCAGACCACACTTTGAGCACTAAGGACTTGCACTATGTCACTAGTCAAAAGTTGGCTTCAAAAGATGGATTGTTTTTGAGGTAAGATGGCTGTTAGCCAACCCATTAAGACGCATTGGGCATTAATTTTATGTGTAATAGTAGGATGACTGCAAAACTTATAGTCAGAATTTGCAGGTTTCCATGCTGATTCTACCATTTTCTAGCAATAAAACTTTGGACAAGTCCCAGGTCATCTCTGTGTTCCAGTTTCTTCCTCTGATAAAATAGAGGTAACAAGATGTGCCATGGTTGGCTAACCACAGGGTAATCATGAGGGTCAGAGGAAACAACTTAGTGAAAGTGCCTTATGAACTGAAAGTGCTGCACATGTGTAAGCATTATTTTTATTACTGTGTTATTTGAAGTTAAACGTTACTAATTGCTCCCATTTCCACAGCTTTTATTTTAATAGATAGATCGATAACATTGGCAAGTGTCTGCTATTTACCTGATGCCATGTTAAGCACAATTTTACTCCTCACATCTCTAATAATATTAGTATTACTATTGTTAGCCCCATTCTGCAGAGGAAAAAGTGAGGCCCCCAGACAATAAGATAAGGCCCAGCTGTGAAGTGTTGATGCTGGATTATGAACTCAGCTTGATTCTCCAAAGTTTAGCTCTTATTTACTGCATTCAACTGATGGATCGTAGCAAACACCCAACATCATAGAAGAAGGTGATAGTCTAGAACAGGGGTTGGCATGCTTCTTCTGTAAAGGGCAAGATAGTAAACATTTAGCCTTTCTATGCCAAATGATTTCTCTTGCAACCATTCAATTCTCTCATTGCAGTGCAAAAGGAGTCATAGATGATTTGTAAAGGAATGGGTGTGGCTGTGTTGCAATAAAATGTCATTTCTAGAAACAGGTGGCAGGCTGGATTTGGCCTGCTGGCCATAGTTTGATGACCGTTGCTCTAGAAAATTCTGAGTTGTCCAACATGATAGTCGTTGGGCATGTGTGGCTGTAAATTCAGTTCCTCAGTTGCACTGGCCACATTTCAAGTACTCAATAGAAACATGTGGCTAGTAGCTACTGTATCAAATAGTGTAGAGAACATTTTCATCAACACAGGAAGTTCTATTGGAGAGCCCTGGTCTAGGTCATCTTTGGAGGTGGGAGGTGGGGAAAATCTTTTTATCAGTAGCTGTGAGGACATGGAAGCTCTGAGTCCTGGCTTTACTTCTTATATCTGACTCTAAGTAAATCACATCATCTCCCATAGGCTCCGTTAATACACACATAAAATGGGGATAATACCCTCTGTATCATGTTGTTGTGAGAACTGAATGAGAAAATATGTGAAAGGTACTTTGTAATCTGTTAGGGACTGCACAGACATAAGCCATTGTTAGGATTCTAATTGTTAGGTAAAATGTGAGAGAATGTGTGGAGGCAGAATTTGGGTAGGTGCCTAAATTGACAGACGATGTTTTCTTTGAAATCACTCTTGGGGGAGACATTGAGATGATAGAGAATTATCAGAATAAGGAAATTTTATTATTTTTATGGTATTCTATTTTTTGGACCATAAAAACAGTAAACAAGGCAAATCTCAGTGTCTGTTCACCTTTCAGAGCTTGGAATTGCCTTTGTAATGCTTAACACCCTCAGGAAATGGACAAAACTGTCCAGATAGGGGCTGTGATGAAATTGGCAGGCAATAGTGACCTTCCTGAGGGAAATCAAAGGTTTATTTTTTGCCACATTCAAAGTTAAAAAGGATGGTGCCATCACACATCAAAGGTTCTAGTTCTTTCCTGATGCTTCTCTTTCACAGGGGCCCCTTTTATACCACACAAGTCAAGAACAAAGCTCAATTCTGCCACAGAATGATCGACCAAGCCCTTGTCTGTGCAAATGGTTTTAACATCTCTGTGATTCCCAGGGCCTCCCTTCTCCCTGATTATTCCTCCCTGTTGCTAGTCCCTGCCATAAATCACCCTTGCAGAAAAATGCCTTCTCTTCCCATGAGTCTGTCATCCCCTCTTGTCCCTCAGGGTGCTGGGAGCCAGGCTACCCTCTAGTTCTAGGCCAATCTACTGCTATCACTCACTTGAATATACAGAAGAGAAGGTGTCTTCCTGTTTAGCCTGGACACACCCTCCTGATTTCTGCCTATAACTAGGAGTTATGTTTTGTATCTATCCTTTCCCTACAGCTTTTTCTATGAGCCTATCTCACACGTCTCTACCTTCTTTCCTGTTTCCTTTCCGTTATTTTTCACACTACTTAAGTACTCCAACAATTCACTCCTCTGCTGTCCAGCGAACACCCGCCTATCAGACTGGAAGGAAGGTTCCTGTTCTTACACACAGCTGATGCCAGTGTATATTAGTTAAACCTTTAGGAAAGCAATTTGGAAATATTTGTCTAAATCCTTAAAAATCTGGTCAAACTCCTTTGAACCAGTAATTCCACCTCTAAGGAAGTATTTAACTAATTAGACATACACTGAAAATTACTAAACAAAGATAATCATTATTGCATTATTTATACTACTAAGCAATTAGAAATAACCTAGTTGTCAACAATGGGAAAAGAATAAAACAAACACCAAATCTAGAAGCAGAAATAAAATGTACTAAAATATTAACAGTGGTTAAGTCTGGATATCTCTGGGGTTAACTCTGGTTATCTCTGAAGTACCAATGATTTTACTTTTTTCTTTTGCCCTTTTTACTTTTTACAATATGCATATTATTATATAATCAGAAAGCGATTAAAAAAATGAAAGTTCCCATTCTTCCAGGCTGGTTATTATATATTCCTCTGTAGTATTCTCCTTCGAGCATTCAAAGCGCACATTTACCAGCCAAGAGGTGTGTCCTTGGAGACAGCCACACAGGTCTTTCTCATATATACTTGAGAAGCAAAATCTAAGAGCTTGTTTTGGGGTCCTTTACGATGAACAGCCAGTTGAAAGGGGAGGAATTAAAGCCAAATGCCCTGAGGAAGAAGTTAGTCTGGTGTCAATGAAGAGGATGTGGTTGCCATTTCTGCCATAAAATCCCTCTTGTTGTCATTATTGTCCTTACAGTGCCGAAGAAATGGCTCTCACGCCCACAAACCTAAATAACAAAATGTCTCTGCAGATGAAGATGGACTGCCAGGAACAACAGCTGACTAAGAAAAACAATGGCTTTTTCCAAAAGCTCAATGTGACTGAAGGTGCAATGCAGGAGTAAGTCAGAACTGAGCTTGCAGAAGCAGTTTCTAGGGTCCCAACTGCAGACGTTCTTGGGCCAGCGGTATGCAAACGATGAGATTTCCAGGTTCAGAGTCTAGGTTGACAGTCTTCACTATAATTTATCTAATTTTAATCTCATGAATATTTACTGTAGTAGGCCTTATGAGAAGCTAAAGGGGCCCACCATCATAAACTGGGCAGATACAGATACCCATTAAAAAAAGTAATCTCAATTTGGGAAAATATGTGGATTGTTTTATGGCTTCATTATCTTCACTTGCTGAAGATCTAAGCCATTTAAAATACTTTCTGGCATAGAGGGAGTACAAACAGTGGTATAAACACATATATACATTTGCTAGTACGTGTTTAAAATGCATACTAGTTTAGCTATGATCAACACCTTTTTAACTAGGAAAACATTTTTAAGGTAAAAGATTTTCCAAGAATCCCTCATATGGCAAGAAAGCTATTATGATATCAAAGATGTTCTTAAATGCATTTATAATTTATTGAAGATAGTAGCATACGCATTTGTAAACTTTGGGCAGTTTTTCATATAAGTTTTTTCATATAAGCAATATTTATTCATTCTATCTAAATCTGTATAGATTCCAGGATCCCTTTCTAAGCAGATTAGATGTGAAGTGACTCAATACCCCCTCAACCCTGACAACACCTCCACCCTCTAGGTTCAAATCCCATAGACTTGGAACTACTTTTATAGACACATATCACACATTTATTGTGACCCATTCAAAAGCATACGAGAGGGAACATATAGGCTCTCTCCAGCAAAATATTAATAAGGGTGGTACTAATTAATTAAGCAAAATATTAAAGTGTGGTAGGGAATGGGCAAAGACTATCAACACATTTGTTTTAGAAAAGGAAATACAAATGAGTTTTATACACATAGGCAAAATACTCAACCTCACACATAAAATGAGACTAACACTAAATGAGATACCAGTTTAAACATACCAAGTTGGCAAGGATCAAAAACTTTAATAGCACATGGATTTAGACAAGGAGTGGGAAACAGGCACATTTTTGCTCGGAGTGAAAATTGATTCAACCTCTTTAAAGCATACTTTGCTAAAAATCTATCAAAATTTAGAATATACATATCTATTGACCTAGAAGTTCTACTTTTCGGGTTTTCCAATAGATATGCTGTGCACATACACAACAACCACATATAGATGTGTAAGGATATTCATTCCAGCATTGTTTGTGATAGCAAATGATTGGAAACATTCTACCTATCTGTTAATAAAAAAACTGATTGGAAAATTATTTTACAGCCCCACAATGGAATACCATATTGCCATTTTAAAAACGAAGCCGCTCTGTATGTGCTAATATGAAATGGACTCCAAAATAGGTTATTAAATAAGAAATTCAAAGTGCTTTGATGTATACACAGAATGGAGTGTATAAATATCCTCCCATATATTTTAAAGGGTCTATTCTGTATAATATATATAATATATACACGCATACATGCATACATAAACATCTCTGCTTATTTATGCATAGCATCTCTGTTGAAAATAAAGAAGCTAGTAAACATTGTGAGGAGGACAGCTGGCGGGGTGGAGATCAAGAGGGCACTGTAGACCTACTCCTCTCTGCCCATTTAAACCACATAAGGTTTTTAAACTCCACTTTTTAAAACAGGATATTAATTTACTTATTTGTTGATTGTGCACACTCATTTATACATACATATGCACAGAACTGCAATTACTTTGGAATTTGGAATCTCACTGTTAATTTATGGATTCAGCCAATTATTATTTATCCAGCCCCTCTATTTCTACTTGTGAGATATAATATGTGAGGTGTTATTCACCCAGAAAGAACTCAGTACAAGGATAGCAGATGCTCCCTGGGACTGGGGAAGATCTCAGTGTTCTCCCTTTAGAAAGGAGTAGTGCAGGCCCAAGCTCTGGCCCAAAGGCATAATAACAGCCTCTGTTTGGATTGTGTGGCTTGCAGTTTGCTAAAGGAAATTATCAAAGTGGACCACATCTTAGACAGATCGGATGATGAGGATGACATTTCCTCCGAAAACCCTCAAACTGACTTCCTTCACAAGGTAGACACTGAAAAATGGGTAAGAGAGACACTTAAATGACACAGTAGGTTGAAGAGAAGAACTTCACGCCGCATATCTTAAAGTGGTAAGAAAATATCTGAGGGTTTTCTTCTAATTGGTGCAGAACTTCAAAGCTTGAAATCAGGAGGGAGGCAGGGAATATGGCATTGTTCCCACTGGATGCTGCTGTTACCACATGAAGGACTTACTAGCCTTCCCATGCGAACAAAAAAGAAAAAAAAGTGAATTATATGTTATTTTTGTCCTCGGGAATTTATGAAATAACTGTGACATTTCTCACCTTCGAGCAAATCACCATATGACCAAATCACCATATGACCATACCCCCTCCTCACAGATTATCTTCCAGTAGAATTCAGCTATTCACCCCTAATGCAGCCTCCAGGAGAGAATCCTTCTTCAGGCTTCTGGGACTCCAGGCCTTCAGTGGCTTGTAGCTACATAACTCCTGGTCTCTTGTCTTCATCCTCACATGGTCTTCTCTTTGTCTGTCTTCTCCTCCTCTGTCTCTCATTAGGATGTTTGTCATTGGATTTAGGAACCCATTCAAGTAATCTGAGACGATCTTATATCAAGATTCTTAGTTTCATCTGCAAAGACTCTTTTTCCAAATAAGATAATATGCATGGGGTCCTAGTTCTGTATTAGGACATAGGCATTCCTTGTTTGGGACCACCACTTAACTCTCTATACTCTATGACCTTGGGCAAGTCACTAAATACAAATGGCCATGTGAGAATGAAAATAAATAATGCACATGAAACTAATTTGTAAAGAGTTACATGAATGTTAGTTATTTCTATTGACTTGGCCAGTAGTTTACGCAGACATTTAAAAAAGAAACTGATCTATTCTCCCTCCTCCAAACTTTTCTCCTTCCAGTTTAAAAATAGTTCTGTGAAACACAGGAAATTCAGATCAAACTTCTTCAAAGGACAGAAGAAATATTTCATAAAGAGTTACTAAAGAAGTGTTCAAGGATAAATCATTGTCGATTTTTGCATGCAGAGACTTGAAATAGCAGAACATGTCTTGGATGCTTTTCTAGAACATGGCAAAGAATACAGAAACAAAAAAGTAAATTGTATTGATCAAACTCATAGAGTAGGCGTTTTCCCCCAAACTCTTTTTGATATGAAACAGTTTAAAAGGTCAACTTAGAATTATGCAATGATTAACCATATTCCTACACCTGTATTTAAAAATCTTTCACATTTCTCACATTGGCTTTATCTTTGTGTATATAAATAGATGAAACTTTCTGAACCACTTAAAAGTAGGTCAAAGACAGCATGATATCTCATTCCTGTTTACTTCAGAAAGCGTCTCTAAAAATAAAACTTTCTCCTACAAAATACTGTTATCACATCTGGGAAAATTAGCATTAATATAATAATCTCAATTCTCTCAATATTCTAATTTCTTTAATTGTCCCCCAAATGTCTTTTACAGCCATATTTTTTAAACCAGCATCCCAAAAAGATCTATGCAATATGTTTGGTTTTCATATCTCTTTAGACTCTCTTAATATAGAATAGTCCTGCCACCTTTTCTTTTTTATGACATTGATTTTTTTTAAGAGACCAGAACAGTCATCTAATTTGAGTGGAGTTTTGGAGTCCGTGGTCAGATGGAATTCGATTACTCATCAGGACTGAAAAGAGCTCTCCGTGTGGACACTGATTCTCTCCATGCCCCTGCCTCAGCTTTCCTCTGTAGACAGAGCAGAAGGGCATGTCTGCTTAGCTTACAGATGCATCAGAAAGCTCCAGTCTCAGAGAGGACTATGTGCTTGACCCCAGCAAAGGGGGATTGGGTAGGGCTGGAAGAACCACCACATCTTGTACTAACCTTTTGTTCTGCTTTGCTTCCATCATCATCTTTACCAGGGTATGTTGGAGCTAGAGGCTGAGCATGACCAGGACCTGAGTAAACAGGATAAGCAAGAAACAGATGTTGATGAGGACCCTCAAGCGTCTACATCTCTGCAGTTTTCAAAGAAGAACCTCCTTGAACTGTAAGTCTTGACACATGCAAGACAGAGCATTTAATAATGTGTGGAGGGGAAAATAGAATTTAAGCAGATAACTTAGGGAAAGTCTGGAAGATTTAAAATCCATACATGTCTTGAACCATAAAGCAGTCCTGTGCATAGGTAACTACCTACATGATCTAGCAATAATGTGGTGTAAGGACATTTTAGGGATGTAGACAGAGCATGGGAAAAAAGAAAGAGCAAACTCTTCTTTGAGGCCTGAAATTAATATATATTTAAGCCTTCTCAGATAATTTTCTAGATAGGAAAACCATAATTATCATTAAGAGTATGTTGTTAAGCCCTTGTGGCTCTTTTCCCTATTGTATACCTCTCCTCCCCCAGAATGATGTAACCACTATCTTAATATCAATATTTAACATTCATTCCACACAGTGAAATTAAAAATATATCTTTTTTTATTAAACATAAAATATGCTTTGTTTTATAGAGTCTTTAAAGATCTGCTAAAGTGGATATCAAATAAATACCCAAACTTCTTTTCTTGAGGCTTGTGTGCCCACCTGGCCCATTTTGGTGACAAGGAAGACTAAACAGATCAACTCGCTATTCAAAGGAAGAGCATTTCAGGCTATGTGAATTGTTTCCCATTTTCTGCTTTGAAAATGATCACCATAATATTTCCGCAGGTGTCTGAAGGGCATGTTCCTCAAGCTAAACTACTGGAACACAAAGATAGGTCTCCAGGTGAAAGAACTTGGAGCTGATTACATAGACGGAACGGAGAAAATTGACAATATTATTAAAAAAATAAATGTAACAGAAAACACAGTGAAGAGGTAATTGTAGGGTGTTGGGGTTGGTCATAAAATAGCAGAAAGTTTCATAGCTTTAAAAATTTAAGAAACTTTGGGCTTAAGATGATAAAGTCTTTAGGCCATAGGTATACTTTCTTGGATGAAATATCTGTTTATCTTTTGCTCATTTAAAAAATTGGGTTGCTGGGTTGTTATTTATGGGTTGGTTTGTTCTTGCTTTTCTAGTTCCTTGTGGTACACTGTTGGATTGTTTATTTGAAATCTTTCTACTTTTTTGATGTGGGTGTTTATTGCTGTAAACTTACCTCTTTGTCAGGCTTTTGATGTCTCTGATAAATTGTGGTAGGTTGTTTGTTTTCATTTGTCTCAAGCAATTTTAATTTCTTCCCTAATTTCTTCCTTGACCCAATGGTCATTCAGGAGCATGTTGTTTAATTTCCATACATTTCTATATTTTCCAAAGTTCCTCTTGGTATTGATTTCTAGTTTTATTCCAGTGTAATCTGAGAAGATACTTGATATGATTGCAATGTTTTAAAATTTGTTAAGACTTGTATTGTGGCCTAACATATGGTCTATCCCAGAGAATGTTCCTCGTGCTGATGAGAAGAAGGTGTATTCTGCAGCTGTTGCATTAAATGTTCTGTAAATGTCTGTTAGATCCATTTAGTCCAAAGTGCAGTTTAAATCCAATGTTCCTTTGTTAATTTTTTGCCTAGATGATATGTCCAATGCTGTGAGTCTGGCATTAAAGTCCCCAACTGTTATTGTATTGAAGTCTGTCTCTCCCTTTAGATCTAGTAATATTTGCTTTATATATCTGGGTGCTCCAGTGTTGGATGCATATATATTTAGAATTGTTATATCCTCTTGTTAAATTGATCCTTTTGTCATTATATAATACCCTCCTTTGTCTTTTTTTATAGTTTTTGACTTAAAGTCTGTTCTAAGTATAGCCACTCCTGCTTGCTTTTGATTTCTGTTTGCATGAAATATTTTTTCAATTTCTTCACTTTCAGTCTACATGTGTCTTTACAGCGAAGTGAGTTTCTTTTAGGCAGCATATAATTGGGTCATTTAAAAAATCAATTCAACCACTCTATATCTTTTAAATGGGTAATGTAATCCATTTATATTCAAGGTTATTATTGATAAGTAAGGACTTATTCCTGTCATTTTGTTCATTGTTTTCTGGTTGTTTTGTATATCCTTATTTCTTTCTCTCTTATTGTTTATAATTGCAGTTTGATGGTTTTCTGTAGTGGTAATGTTTGATTTTTGTCTCTTTCTCATTTGTATATCTATTCTATCAGTGAATTTGATACTTTTGTGAGTTTTCATGTTTGTAGATTTTGTTCTTTCACTTCCAGATGTAGGATTTCTTTAAGCATTTCTTGTGGTGATGAATTATCTCACTTTTTCCTGGTCTGGGAACAACTTTATTTCTCTTTCATTTGTTGAAAGATAGTTTTGCTGGGTATAGTATTCTTGGCTGTCAGGTTTTTTTTTTTTTTTTTTTTTTTTTCCTCTCAGCACTTTGAATATATCATCCCATTCTCTCCTTGCCTATAAGATTTCTGCTGAGAAACCTGCTGTTAGTCTGATGGGGATTCCCTTATATGTGACTTGACACTTTTCTTTTGCTGTTTTTAGAATTCTCTCTTTGTCTTTGATTTTGACAGTTTGCCTGTCATGAGCCTTGGAGAAGACTTTTTTGATACAAATCTATTTGGGGTTCTTTGTGTTTTCTGTATTTGAATGTCTATCTCTTGCAAGACTTTGGAAGTTTTTAGCTATTATTTCATTAAATTTTTTTTAATGCCTTTGCCCACTTATTCTCTATCTGGAACTCCTAATATCCAAATATTGGTTTCCTTATGGTGTCCCAAATGTCAGGTAGGGCTTTCTTCATTCTTTTTCATTCTTTTTTTTTTTTTTTTGGCTGATTGGGTTATTTCAAAACACTTGTCTTCAAAGTTTAGAAATGTTTTCTTCTGCTTGATCTAGTCTATTATTTCAGCTCTTTATTATATTTTTATTTCATTCATTGAATTCTTCAGTCTCAGAATTTCTGTTTGACTCAGATTATGAATTGTTTTCTTGACTTCTTTGTATTGCTTACCTGTGTTCTCTTATATCTCACTGATTTTCTTTAGTTTCAATACTTTGAATTCTTTTTCAGGCATTTCATAGATTCCCTTTTCATTGGGATGTTACTGGAGAATTATTGCACTCCTTTGGAGATGTCATGTTTCCTTCCTTTTTCATGTTTCTTTGGTTCTTACATTGATATCTATACATCTGGTGTAATAGTCACTTCTTCCAATTTTATGCATTGGCTTTCATAGGGAAAGATTAGGTTTTCCTAAAGCTGTATTTATAGTGTTAGTTGAGTAGGGTGCTTTGGCTTTGATTATTGGTGGGTGGGCATACTAGTGTAGTCTCTACATGATTTCTTTGGTTGTAATCAGCGTCAGTGGTATCTGTAAGTTCATCAGTGGCTTAGGCTGTGCTTATTTGTGGAGGCTGTGGCAAACTTTACTGGGGACAGTTACCCTAGGCAGATTGGTCCTCAAGTGCTAGTGGTGGTGGCAGCAGGGTGGGAATGCCTGTCCTCAGGTCCCCATGCAGCATATGCATGCACCAGTGGTGGTTAGTCTGGGTGGGCCAGATCTTTGGCTTCTAGGCAGCTTGCTTGATTGCTGACAGTGGCAGCAGTGGCTGAGAAGGTGGGTCATCATGTCCCTGGGCACTGTGTGTGGCACTGACAGTGGCAATAGTAGCAGCAGGCCAATCCTTGGATTCCCAGGCAGCATGTGCACATTGCCAGCAGTGATGGCAGTGAGCTGGGGGGGCCAGTCCTCAGGCCCCTAAGAGTCATGCATGGGTAGATACCAGTGATGGCGGCAGCTGTAGGCTGGGCAGGCTGGTCCCTAAGCCCCCAGGAAACACACATAGGTGCAGGCAGCAGGAAGGGTGGGCCTATCACCAGGCCCTTGAACAATGTACATAGGCAGTGGCAGTGAGCAGGGCCCATCCTCAGGCCCACAGAAAGCAAGTGTTGGTACCCTGAAGGCAGGGCAGGTTGATCCTGAGGTTCCCAAATGATGTGTGGCAGGCACTGGTGCTGGCAACACGGGGGGCGGGCCTGTCCTCAAACTCCTCAATGATGCACACAAGTCCCCAGTGCTATTGATGGTGGCAGTGGCAGGGTGGACCTGTCCTCAGGCCCTCAGATGGCATGAATGACTGCCAATAATGGCAGGCAGAGTGAGTTGATTACCAGGCTCCTGGATAGCATGCTCAGGCAGCAGTAGGGGTGGGTTGAACAGGACTGTTGTCAGGCCCCTTGATAGTGTATGTGGGTGTCAGTGGCTATGGGTGGAGCAAGTCAGTCCCCAGGCCCCTAGGCAGTGCAGCAATAGAATACCAGCAGTGGTGCTGATAAGTGGGATGGGCCTGTCATCAGGTCCCCTGATGGTGTGCATGGGCTGGCAGAGGCAGGCCTGGTTGGCTGATATCTGGGCCCCTGGATAGTGTGCCCTGGTGCCAACAGTGATGGCAGTGGGTGGGGTAGGCTGCTCCTCAGGCCCCTGGGTGGTATGCACAGGTGCCAGTAGTGGCTAGTGGGTGGACCTGTCATCTGGCCCCAGGATGGTGCTCAGGTGGGCCAGTCCCCAGGCCTCCTGAAGGTGTGTGCAGCTGCAAGGCAGCCCTGCTGCTGGAGGCTCCAGGGTTGCTGTCTGTATTTGTCAGGGTTCTCTAAAGAGATAGCACCAATAGGATATATCCATATCGATAGCTGCATTAGTTTATTAGGGAGAACTGGCTCATATGATGACATGGTGATATGGTTTGGCTGTGTCCCCGCCCAAATCTCATCTTGAATTGTAGCTCCCATAATTCCCGTGTGTTGTGAGAGGGACCCAGTGGGAGGTAACTGAATCATGGGAGCGGGTATTTCCTGTGCTTTTCTTGTGATAGAGAATAAGTTCACAAGATCTGATCGTTTTATAAAAGGGAGTTCCCCTACACAAGCCCTCTCTTGCCTGCCACCATGTAAGACATCCCTTTGCTCTTCCTTCATCTTCCACCATGATTGTGAGGCTTCCCCAGCCATGTGGGACTGTGAGTCCATTAAAAAGTCTTTCCTTCATAAATTACGCAGTCTCACACGTCTTTACTAGCAGCATGAGAATAGACTAATACACATGGTGAAGTCCCACGATACGCTGTCTGGAAGCTGGGGAAAGAGAGAAGCCAGTAGCATGGCTCAGTCCAAGTCCAAAAGCCTCAAAACCAGGGAAGCCAACAGCATAGCCCTCAGTCTGTGGCTGCAGGCCCAAGAGCCCCTGGAAAGCAACTGGTGCAAGTCCCACAATCCAAAGGCCAAAGAACCTGGAGGCTGATATCCAAGGGCAAAAGGAGAGGAAGCAAGTGTCCAGCATGGCACAGGAAGAGAGAGAGAGTGAGCAGACTCAGCAAACAAGCTGCTTCTTCCCCTTTTCTGCCTGCCTTGTTCCAGCTGTGCTGGCAGCCGATTGGATGGTGTCCACCCACACTGAGGGTGGGTCTTCCTCTCCCAGTCCACTGACTCAAATGTCAATCTCCTCTGGCAACACCCTCACAGACACACCCAGGAACAATGGCTCCTCAGGCCCCTGGGTGGCATGCACAGGTGCCAGTAGTGGCTAGTGGAGTGGACTTCCCAGCCATCTAAGCATCCCTTAATCCAGTCAAGTTGACATCTAGTATTAACTATCACAAGTCAACCCCTTGTCAACTTGGCACTCATATGGTTTGGATGTCTGTCCCCACCCAATCTCATTTTGAAATGTGATCTCCTATGTTGGAGGTGGGCCTAGTGGGAGGTGTCTAAGTCACAGGGGCAGATCCCTCATGAATGGCTTGGTGCTGTCCTCAGGATAATGAGTGCGTTCTTGATCCGAGTTGACATGAGATCTGGTTGTTTAAAAGAATGTGGCACCTCTCCCCCCCCTCTCTCTCTCTTGCTCCTGCTCTCACCATGTGATACGCTGGCTACCCTTCATCTTCCACCATGATTGTAAGCTTCCTGAGGCCCTTACCAGGAGCCAAGCAGATATTGGTGCCATGCCTGTACAGCTTACAGAACCATAGGCCAAAATATACCTCTTTTCTTTATAAATTACCTGGTCTCAGGTATTTCTTTATAGCAATGCAAGAACAGACTAACACACTGTCAGTGGCAGAGACTCCTGGCTCTGGGAAGCCCAAACTTTGGCTCCCTTTGTCCTTGGGGCAGCCTTCCTTACCCTGTTCCCTGGGTGTAATACACTGCTTGAGCTAGAGTGCTGGGGACCTGACTGCATGCTGGATTCAGTTGGCATGGTGATACTGCAGCTCTGGGTGCACGTAGAGGGATGTCGGCAGGGCTTCAGGGATGTGGAAATGCAGGGGCTATTGGGCCCCAGGGCAGGAGGTAGTCTGTGGCTGCTGGGCTCTCAAAATGGTGCCGTGCTGCAGTTGCTTTGGTCTCAGTGGGTGTGTAAGACCCCTGACAAACTTTGTCTGAAACAGTTATCACATGGACTCCAGACAGCTCCCTATACTGGTCTCAGGGCCTGCAAAGGCCGAGGAACTCTCCTGTGGCTAGGACTGCAGAAGTTGAATGTGGACCACTAGGGATCTCTTACCTTTTCCCTCTAATGGAGAGTTCCTCCTGGAGGGGTATTGCCCTACAATTTTCTTTTCTTGTAATGTCTAGTTTTAATATCAGAATAACACTTGCCATGTAGAAAACCATTAAGATTTTCCCCGGACCTGTTTGGTTTTCTGGCTAAGTTTGTGTAGAAGTGGTATAATTTCTTCCTTAAATGTGGGATTGGATTCACCAGGGAAGCTGTATTGCCTGGAAATTTCTTTGTGGTAAGGTTTTTAATTAAAAATTTAATTTATGAATTTTATTTTGTATCTATTAATTTCTTTAATAGATGTAATAGGGCTATTCAGGATATATTGCTAAAGATATTAAGTTGATTGTACCTTTCAAACAATGTGCCCATTTTATCAAAGTTGTCAAAGATATTGACATAAAGTTATCCGTAACATTCCCTTATTATATGATGTCTTTAGCATCTGTATTGATGTCTCCTCACTTATTCCTGAAATTGAATATTTGTGTCTTCTTTTCTTTTTGTTGTATCAGTCTGGATAGAGATCTATACATTTTTTGGTTTGCTAAAAGACCCAGCTTTTGATTTCATTGGGTTTTTTGCTATTGTTTTTCTGGCTTTTTGAAAATTTTCATTTGATTCTGCTTTTTTTTTTTAATTATGTCCTTTCTTCTGCTGACTTTAGGCTTATGTTGCTATCCTCTTTCTAATTTCATGAGGTGAACTTTAGGTCATTGATTTGAGATCTCTTGTCTTTTTCTATTATAATAATCAGTTAGTGCTCTGCACTTCCCTGTAAGCACTGTTTCCACTGCATCAAACTGATTTTTATATATTGTGTTTTCATTTTCAATCAGCTCAGAATACATTCTAATGTCCCTTTTGATCTCTCCTTTGACCCATGGATTATTTTTATATCTGTAAATATATTTTAATGTTTTATATTTTGAGATGGAGTCTCGCTTCATCTCCATCAGCCCAAGCTGGAGTGCAATAGCATGATCTTGGCTCACTGCAGCCTCTGCCTCCCGGGTTCAAGCATTTCTCCTGCTCAGCCTCTCGAGCAGCTGGGATTACAGGCATTCGCCACCATGCCTGGCTAATTTTTATATTTTTGGTAGAGGCAGGGTTCCAGCACGTTGGCCAGGCTGGTCTTGAACTCCTGACCTCAGGTGATCCGCCCACATTGGCCTACCAAAGTGCTTGGATTACAGGCATGAGCCACCACACCCGGCCAACCCATGGATTATTTAAAGTATGTTTTAGTTTCCAGGTATGTAGAGATCTTCCAGATACCGTTCTCTTACTGACTTCTCAGTTAAGTCCATTGTGACCAAAGAACAAATTTTATGTTACTTGACTCCTTTTAATTTTTTTCTTTTTTGAGACAAGGTCTCGCTCTGTTGCCCAGGCTGGAGTGCAGTGGCACAATCACAGCTCACTGCTCAACCTCCCAGGCTCAAGCAATCCTTCCACCTCTGTTTCCCTAGTAGTTGGGACTGCAGGTGCACACCACCAGGCCCAGCTAATTTTTGTATTTTTTGTAGAGACAAAGTTTCGCCATGTGGCCCAGGCTAGCCTTGGACTTCTGGCCTCAAGCAATCCTCCCTTCTTGACCTCCCAAAGCGCTGGGATTACTGGTGTTAACCACCGTGCCCAGCCAACTCCTTTTAAATGTATTGAGACTTGTTCTATGGCGCTGAATATGGTCTATCTTGGTAAATGATATGTGTGCAATACAATAGTAGAATGTGTATTCTACTATTGTTTGAGTAGAGTAGTCTACAAATATCAATCAGGTCAGGTTGGTTGATAGTGTTATCCAAGTCTTCCAGGTACTTATGGATTTTCTCTCTACCTCTATAGATGATCAATAGAGGAGTGTTGAAATCTCCAACTGTAACTGTAGATATGTCTATTTCTGCTTGCAGAGCTATCAGTTTTTGCTTCATGTACTTTGAGGCTCTGGTTTTAGTTGCATGAATGTTAGGACTGTTATGTCTTTTTGAAGAACTGATCCCTTTATCATTATAAATGATTTCTTTATCCTTCTCTTTGTTTTTTTTCTTTTTCGAGACAGTCTTGCTCTGTCACCCAGGCTGGCGTGCAGTGGTGTGATCATAGTTCACTGCAGCCTTGAACTCCTGGGCTCAAGCGGTCCTCCCACCTAAAGCTTCCTGAGTAGCTGGGACCACAGGTGTGCACCATGATGCCCAGCTAATTTTTGAAACTTGTGTGTAGGTAAAGACAAGGTCTCGCTTTGTTGCCCAGGCTGGTCTCCAACTCCTGGCCTCAAGCAATCCCCCTGCATGAGCCTCCTAAAGTGCTGAGATTATAGGCGTGAACCGTTATGCCCATCCTTTTTCATTGTTTTTTAAAAATAGTTAATTTGGCTTAAATAGAATGATTCTTAAACTATCACTATCTGCCTTCAAGTAATATTTTACCTCTTACATATGCTGTACTTCTATGTCTGTTCTCCCGGCCTTTGCACTACTGTTGGCGTACATCTTACTTCTGTACTGAATATAAGCCCATGATACGTCAGGGGTTTTTGTTTTGTTTTGTTTTTTACTTTAAATGATTAACTATTGTTTAAGGTGATTTTTTAAAGTAAGAAAAAAATTGTTTATATTTACACACATATTTACTATTACCAGTGCTCTTCATTCATTTGTATGCATACAATCTATATCTGGCATCATTTTCCTCTTGTTGAAGGGCTTTTAAAAACTATTTTCTGTGGCCAGGCATGGTGGCTCACACCTGTAATCCCAGCACTTTGGGAGGTCAAGGTGGGTGGATCACCTGAGGTCAGGAGTTGGAGACCATCCTGGCCAACATGGTGAAACCCCGTCTCTACTAAAAATACAAAAATTAGCTGGGCGCCTGTAATCCCCGCTGCTCGGGAGGTTGAGGCAGGAAGATTGCTTGAACCCAGGAGGCAGAGGTTGCAGTGAGCCAAGATCACTCCACTGCACTCCAGCCTGGGCAACAGTGCAAGACTCTCAAAAACAAAAAACAAAAACCCAAAACTATCTTCTGTGATACAGTTCTACTGGGGATGTGTTCTTTTAGCTTTTTATGTCTGAAAAAAAGCATTCATTTTGTAAAGATAGTTTTGCAGAGTATATAATTATATACTGACATTTTTTTCTCAGTACTTTAAAGATGCTGTTGAAATCTGGTTTGCGTTGTGCCTGACAAGAAGTTGGCTGTCATTCTCTTCCATATTTTTCTACAAATAAAATTTTCCTTGCTCTATTCCCAGCTGTTTTCAAAATTTTTAAAAAATCTGGCCAACATGGTAAAACCCCATCTCTACTAAAAATACAAAAATTAGCTGGGTGTGGTAGCATGTGCCTGTAGTCCCAGCTACTCAGGAGGCTGAGGCAGGAGAATTGCTTGAATCCAGGAGGTGGAGGCTGCAGTGAGCCAAGATCGTGCCATTGCACTCCAGCCTGGCGACAGAGTAAGACTCCATCTCAAAAAAAAAAAAAAAAAAAAATATATATATATATATATATATAGTTTTTAATCATTTTTATATGATCGACCTTCATGTAGTTTTCTTAATTTTTCTTTTGTTAAGTTGCGTTGTGCCTTATGGCTCTGCAAGTTTGTAGTTTAAATTTGGAAAATTTGAGCCATTATTTCTTTAAACATTTTTTTCTGTTCCCTCATCTCACCATCAAGGATTTTAATTACATGTGTCTTAGGCCACTTTAGGTTGTCTCATAACCCATAACTCACTGATGTTCTGGGCTTTTTTTTTCTCTCTTTTCTTTCTGTGTTTCATTTCAGACTTTCTATCACTATATCTTAAAATTCACTAATCTTTTGGTTCTGCGGTATCTGATATAACATTAATCCCCTCCAGTGTATTTTTCATCTCAGACACTGTAGTTTGTGTCTATAGAAGTTTGATCTGGGTCTTTTTTCTATTTTTCATATCTCTCCTAAATGTACTCATGTTTTTCTCTACCTTCTTGGACAATAAAATATAGTTACAACTTTTAAAATAACCTTATCTACTAATTCTATCATCTAATCATTTTTAATACTGCCTCTATTTATTTTTTTAAGTTTTTTTTTTTTTTTTTGAGATAGAGTCTCACTCTGTCACCTAGGCTGGAGTGCAGTGGCGTGATCTTGGCTCACTGCAACCTCCACTTCCTGGGTTCAAGAAATTCTTGGCTTCCCGAGTAGCTGGGATTATAGGCACGTGCCACCCATACCTGATTAATTTTTTTAGTATTTTTAGTAGAGATGGGGTTTCACCGTGTTGGCCGGGCTGGTCTCGAACTCCTGACCTCAGGCAATCGGCCCACCTCAGCCTCCCAAAGTGCTGGGATTACAGGTGTGAGCCACGGCACTCAGCCTTTTATAAGCATATAGACTGTTGCTTCCTGCTTCTTTGCATGCCTAGTAATTCTTTACTAAATGCCAGACATTGTCAATTTTACCTCATTTGGTTTTGAGTATTCTGGAGACATTTGTGTGTACATTTAAATTTTGAGCTTTGTTCTGGAACACAGTTAAATTACTTAGAAGTGGTCTGACCCTTTTGAGGATTGCTTTTAATTATTGTAGGGCAGGACCAAAGCAGCCTTTAGTCTAGGACTAATACGGCTCCACTATTGAAACAATACCTTCTGAGTATTCTACCTGATGACTTGAGTATTATAAGAGTTTTCCACTCTGGCAATTATTCTCAGCACTGCTTGATCTTTAGAGATTGTTCTGCCCACTTCAATCTGCTATGATTTCCCTCCCATTTCAAGTAGTTTTATCACACCTGTGTGCTAATCAGTGCCTCAGCTGAAGGCCCAAGTGGGGCTTTCTCAAGTGGGAAGATCTCTGGAGCTTTTTCTCTGTGCAGCTCTCTCCTCTTTGGCACTCTGCTGGGCAAATCTACTCCATGTGGCCTCCCTGAGCTTCTAACTTCATCTTCTCAACTCACGGAGACCACCAGCCTTCTCCTGCATCCCCTTTCTCTGACTTGAAGTCGGGAAACTCTTTCCAGGAGTAACTTGAAGTAACTATAGATCCCATCTCACTTGTTTCCCACCTGAGGGATCCACGTTCTGCACTGTCTGTTGTTCAACGTCTGAAAACCATTGTCTCATATATTCTTTTCAAGTTTAAAATTGTTTAAAATGGGAGGCTAAATCCAATTCCTGTTACTCCATGTTGATTGAAAGCAGAAGTACCCAAAACATTAAAAACATTCTAATTTTTAATGGATTTCCTTGTCTGCCTGCAAATCCACATTACATTATAATCTTCAAAAGGGCAAAGACCTTTCTTATACTATTCTCTATTTTAATCATCAGCATTCAGCATAATACTTGGCACATAGTAAATGCTGAACAAATACCTTCTGAATTAACGTTATAAAATATTTGGGCCAGAGGGCTTTACAGTTTGCAGAGACCTGTAGACCAAAAACTAGAAGGTAAATATGAAACTAGTCACATTATTCTTCTTTATTAATTCTCCTCCTTTTTTCTTTTGCAACCCTCTTTACCTATGCTTCCATTTTTATTTTTAACTTTTTATTTTGAAATAATTATAGATTCATAGGAGGTTTCAAAAATATATATGCAAGGAACCCTTATTTTCAGCATTCCTGAATGGTAGCATCTTGCCTAACTTGGGTATGCCATCAAAACCAAGAAACTGACATTGGTACAATCCAGAGAGCTTATTCAGACTTCACCATTTATACATGCACTCATCTGTATGTGTATAGTTCCATGCAATTTTATGAGATGTTTAGCCTTGCATGACTATGACAATCAGATCCTCAACTGAATCATTGCATAAGATGCACTTGTGTTACCCCTTTATACATATATTTCCTCCTACCCATCCCTAACCCCTGGCAACCACAAATCTGTTCCACATGTCTATAATTATGCTATTTCATGAATGCTACATAAGTGAAATCATGCAGTTTGTCCTTCTGAGATTGGCTTTTTTTCACTCAGGATAATTTTTTTGAGGTTTATCCAAATTTTCGCATGTATTGATCTTTCCTTCCTTTTCATTGCTGAGTAGTCTTCCATGATATGAACCTATGCAGTGTGTTTAACCATTCATCCACTAAAGGACAAATGTGTAATTTCCAGTTTGGGACTATTATGAATAAAGCTGCTTTGAATATACGCGTACTATGGGAAATAAGTCTTCATTTCTCTGGTATAATTACCCAGGATGAAATTGCTGGGTCATATGGTAAGTCAGTTTTAAGTTTTGACAGGAACTGCCAAACAGTGTTCCAGAGTGGCTGAAACCTTTTGTTTTTCCACCACCAATTTATGAATGATCGCGTTTCTCCACATCCTCACTAGCATTTGGTGTTATCACTATTCTTCTTTTCTTTCTTTTTTTTTTTTTTTTGCCATTGTGACAAGTATGTAGTGATATATCATTGTGGTACTAATTTGCATTTCTCTAATGGCTAATAAGTATTGACCATCCTTTTGTATGTTTATTTGCTATCTATATAGCCTCTTGGTGAAATGTCTGTGCATGCCTTTTGCTTATTTTCTAATTGGATAGGTTTTTTTTTAATGTTGAGCTTTTTTTGAGATTTTTATATAGTCTAGATACAAGGCCTTTGCCATATATGTGCTAAGCAAATATTTTTCCCCGTGTGTAATTTGTCTTTTCATCCATTTAACAGGGTCTTTGGCCAAATTAAGGTTTTAATTTTGATGAGGTTCAATTATCAATTTTCCCTCTTACAGATTATATAATTGATGTTAAGCCTAAGAACTCTTCTCCTAATCTTATGTCCCCCAAATTTTCTGTGTGTTTTTTTCTTAGAAATTTTATAAACTTATATTTTAACCCTTTTAATTTTCAGCTCCTGTGTCCAGTTAGGCCTCATATCTCTTTAATATTATCTAGATTACTTAGAGTACTTTTTACTTTTTTGAATTTCATTTACTTCCCATTGCAATACAAGCACTACCAAAGCATCCTTTTATATGGGAATGGTATTTCATTTTTGAAAGATCAAAATTACCTCCTCTCTTGGGTGATTTTTCTTAATCTGCAGGCCTTAGTATCTTGGTCTGTTTGCAGCTTATTAAAAGACATGCTGACCCTGAAGGGTCAAATTGAAAAGCTGGAGGACCGGGGCCTTGACCTTGATCAAGGGACAAGCACTGAGGTAAGCTAGAGACTTGGGAAAGACTGAGAGGTTGGGGATTTCTGTCACTTCTTTCCCTACTACCTTTCTATTGTTAATAGGCAATAACAAGAAGTAAGACTCATAAGCAGGAGTGCTCTCTGGTGGTCACGTCTGAGCACCCTTTTCCTGAGTAACACTGCTTTTATCTGATGACACAAAAAACCTAGACTTTTCTACTTTACCTAGAAACTCGGCTACCACGAAACTCTATCTTGTTGCCACCTTAAGATGAGTACCTTAAGGGAGAATTGGTTTTCTTAATCTTTGTATGTCAGCACCTAACGGTACAGAGAATACATCCAGGAAATAAATATTGGTCAAAAACTGCATCCTTAGAGTGCAAGGGATCTACCTGTGTTTGTCTTGGATGCCCCATGAAGAGTTCTTGTGTTGGTTTTCACAATCTCCAGAGTTTTCCTGATGTTGTGTCTCCTCACACTTCTTATAGACTCTTCTCAAATTAAGGTTTAATTTTCCACTTTCTTTCCTTTTTTTTTTGAGACAGAGTCTCACTCTGTTGCCCAGGCTGGAGTGCCGTGGCATGATCTTGGCTCATTGCAATCTCCGCCTCCCGGGTTCAAGCAATTCTCATGCCTCAGCCTCCTGAGTAGCTGGGATTACGGGTGTGTGCCACCATGTCTGGCTAATTTTTGTAATTTTAGTAGAGATGGGGTTTCATCATGTTGGCCAGGCTGATCTCGAACTCCTGGTCTCAAGGAATCTGCCCACCTCAGCCTCCCAAAGTGCTGGGATTACAGGCATGAGCTACCGCACCCAGCCTAATGTTCCATTTTCTTATTAGTAATAGAATATTAGAGCTGAAAGGTAGAGATCAACTTGTGACACAAGTTAGATTTCGGAGTCCTGGCTGATAGTTTTTCTGGCTTGAAGAAAGGTCCCTGAAAAAGAAAAAAGTCTGTGTCTAACAACCTCTTTTAACTGAAATTGCCAGCTTCAATTTTAACTCAAGCCCAAGAGTTTAAATGTGAGTAGATTTTGGAAGCAGTAAAAGAGAAAATTCTCTTTTATTAAAGGAAGGTGTCATTTATTTGGACCTCTTACATATTAAAAGTAACTTACAGATCAGTGCAAATCTATTGCCTGGGGGAAAAATTACTTTTAACTGATATAGTCCAACATTTTGAGTCACAATCTTATTTTGTGTGAGTTGAAAGAGTTTTTTTCACTATCTTTGGGCTTTGGAAATTGCAAACTATAAAAAAGGGAAGAGGACAAAGGCCAAGAAATATTCTGCTTTAGAGAATTTCCTCCAAAATCCAACTGTTAGTATTACAAAAATGTAGATTTCAGTAGCAGGTGCGGGGAGGGAGGAAGGAGTATCAAAAGACTGAGGAGAAAGATAGAGAAACACATACATAAATGAAAGTGAGATTTTTTTAAAGGGAGGAGTTTGGAATAATATGCAAGAGGAAGGCATCACACACATATACGGAAATTCTCTGTGCTGGGGATACACAGTTTTATGTACACATTAAAAGCAACAAAAAACCAAGCACAAGCTTAAAAACTAGAAACAATTCAAATATCTGCCAGTTGTCATTTGGATAAACTGCAGTACACGTACGTGATGGAATACTACTCAGCAATAAAAAGGAACAAACTTCTGATTGACCCAACAACATGAATGAATCACATGCATTACAGTAAGTGAAAGAAGCCAGATTCAGAAGACTATTTACGTACTTTGTGCTTCTGTTTATGTAACTCTGAAAAAGGCAAAATTGTAGGAACAGAAAATAGATTAGCAGTTAGTTTCCCAGGTTTAGTGGAGGAAGGGGGACAGGGATTGACAAAGGGGTATAAGGAAATTTAGGGGCTGATGGAAATATTCTATATCTTCTTGTAGTGGTTATTACACAACAGAATGCATTTGTCAAAATTCATAGAACTGTATACTTTAAAAAGTGAGTTTTACTGTATGTAAATTATATCTCAATAAATGTGTCTTCAAAAAAATGGCACAAGTTCTGTCTCAAGAAGCCTACAGTCTGATAGAAAAAGCTACATAAAAACAAATGTGGTAATATATCTAAAGGTGAAGCTTTAAATGTAATTGTTGGCTGAATGTGGTGACTCACACCTGTAACCCCAGCACTTTGGGAGGCCAAGGGAGGAGGATCACTTGAGGTCCGGAGTTTGAGACCAGCCACGGCAACATAGCGAGACCCCTATCTCTACAAAAAATTTAAAAAATTAGCCAGGCATGGTGGTGCATGCCTGTAGTCCCAGCTACTTAGGAGGCTGAGGTGGGAGGATCACCTTCTGGACTCAGGAGGTCAAGGCTGCAGTGAGCCATGATCAGTGAGCCACTGCACTCCAGCCTGGGCAGCCGAGTGAGACACTGCCTCAACAAACCAACCAACCAGCAAACAACAAAAACAACAAAATAAATAAATAGGTAAAATTGTTACAGAAGCAAAGTTAGTAGCAATGGCTGTAGGCTTATTCTGGTGAAGGGAAAAGTGAAGATTGTTAGAAATAGATACAGGAATAGCAAATAAAATGTGGGAAAATTAAAGGAGAAATTAGTTAATAAAATTAAAATAATATCACATATATTGGCTCACTTATTCCTCATAAAGAAATGGAATAACTAAGAAAGGCATGAAAAGAGAAGGAGGGAAAATTGGTGAAATTATTTTTTAAAAAAGCAAAACAGAAACGAAAGTATGTGAAAGAACTTCAAGCTACAGAAAGGACTTTGAGGTGGCCTTTGGGTGTTATTTGGCCTAATATTGAGCCCCCAAGCCATTACACTTTCTAATAGAATTTCCATGTGAATTTCTGGGCTTTCATTCAGAGACTGACCTTGTCCCAGTTATCTTTGATAAGTGCTGTATGAAGATGTTTACTCTGTAAATAAACTAGGATACCAAATAAGAGGTGATTGTCACAGCACAGCTCCTCTCTAAATAATTAAACCACCCAATTCAGGGATTGATGATGAATAAACGTGTTAAAAAATAGCTATACTGTATATTCTCTAATTCACCTATAAGCTACTTGAGGGTAAATATTCTTGTTACTTGTATCTAACTAGCATGATGCCTAGCGCAATGGCCACTTACATAGGATGTGGTCATTATAAATATATATAATGTATTTTATATATATATAGATCTTTTTTTTTTTTTGAGATAGTCTCATTCTGTTGCCCATGTTGGAAGACAATGGCGCTATCTCGGCTCACTGCAACCTCCGCCTCCTGGGTTCAAGTGATTCTCATGCCTCAGTCTCCCCAGTAGCTGGGACTACAGGGGCACACCACCACAGCTGGCTAATTTCTTTTTTTGTATTTTTTGTAGAGACGGGGTTTCACCATGTTGGCCAGGCTGGTCTTGAACTCCCGACCTCAAGCGATTCTCCCACCTCAGCCTCCCAAGTGCTGGGATGACAGGCATGAGCCACTGTGGCTGGTTGCATGCTTATTTTAACAATTAAAACATTATGAAATGATTTCATATAAAAATGAAAAATATCCTCCTCCCTTAAAGACAAACACAATGAACGTTTTAGTATATTTATATTCTTCCAAATTTTTATACATACATTTACACATTGTTGTTTTGATGGGATTGTATTATACATATTGTTTTGCAACTGCTATGGCACTTAGCGTATTTTCTTCAACAATTTTCTATGCTAGTAGATGTCGTTTTACTTTTTTTTCACTCCTATATAATGCAGGGCTTGATATTTGAATTTATGAATTTTATTTTGTTGGATATTTGGTACTTTATAATCAATGTTTGCCGTTACAAACTATGCCTCAAAAATCCATGCCTTGATTGCTCTTGCAAGTACTTCTTTAAGCATCTATTTCTGAGGCTGGGCATGGTGGCTCATGCCTGTAATCCCAGCACTTTGGGGGGCCAAGACGGGTTGATTGCTTGAGCCCAGGAGTTCAAGACCAGCCTGGGCAACATGGTGAAACCCTGTCTCTACTTTTCAAAAGAAGACATACATGCGGCCAAGAAACATATGAAAAAAAGCTCAATATCACTGATTATTAGAGAAATGCAAATCAAAACCACAATGAGATATCATCTCCCACACTGGTCAGAATGACTATTATTAAAAAGTCAAAAAATAACAGATGTTGGCCAGGTTGTGGAGAAAAGGGAACACTTATACACAGTGGGTGGGAGTGTAAATTAGTTCAACCATTGTAGAAAGCAGTATGGCGATTCCTCAAAGAGCTAAAAGCAGAACTACCAGTCGACCCAGCAATCCCATTATTGTGTATATACCCAGAGGAATATAAATCACTCTACCATAAAGACACATGAACGTGAATGTTCACTGAAGCACTATTCACAATAGCAAAGACATAGAATCAACCTAAATGCCCATCAATGACAGTTGGGATAAAGAAAATGTGATACATATATACCATGGAATACTATGCATCCATAAAAAAGAACGAGATCATGTCTTTTGTGGGAACATGGATGGAGCCGGAGGTTGTCATCCTCAGCAAACTAACTCAGGAACAGAAAATCAATACCACATTTTCTCATTTATAAGTGGGAGCCAAATGATGAGAATTTATGAACACAAAGAAGGAAACAGACACTGGGGTCTACTTGAGGGTGGAGGGTGGGAGGAAAGAGAAGAGGAGAAGGGGTAACTGTTGGCTACTGGGCTTAATTCCTGGGTGATGAAATAATCTGTACAGCAAACCCCCATGACATAAGTTTACCTGTGTGACAAACCTTCACATGTACTCCTAAACCTAAAATAAAAGTTAAAAAAAAAGAGAAAGAAACCTCATCTCTACAAAAAATAAAAAACTAGCTGGGCATGGTGGCACATGCCTATAGTCCCAACTACTCAGGAGACTGAAGTGGGAAGATCACATGAGCCTGGGGAGATGGAGGCTGCAGTGAGCCATGATCACACCACTGCACTCCAGCCTGGATGTCCGAATGAGACCTTGTCTCAAAAAAAAAAAATTAATTTCTATAAGTGTCATCTTTGGAACTCATTTTTCTTGAATCCTAGTATACTCTTTTTCCTGCTATATCTCTGCTTTTCAGGGTATCCTGAACGTCTCTTAGTGGATGATTAATTTAAAACCTTTAAAAGCATTCTTTACTTGTGACACGTGCAATTGGCATTCACGTGTTAGAAGGTGATGGTTTGCTTTCAGCCCATGTCTTGTGCTTATTGACAGAAACCAGCCAAAACCATCTGTTGTCTCCACCTGGCAACCTATAGGAGACATGGGAAGAGAAGAAGAGGAACCAGATCTTTTTGTGGACAGCTCTTTTGCAAAGCCGTCCGGCCTGAATATTCAGTCTGACATAATGACTTACATTCATAAATTCTAAAATGTTAAATATTTAAAAGAAATATTTTCTCAGAAACATAACTATGTTTCTTCAACTTGTGTCCTGGTAGAAGTTTTTTAAGGAGCAAGGAAGGAGTAATGAAGAGAGAAGCATGATTTATTATTAACTGCTATTGTGTAAATGCATACCTCTAAAGTATTGAAAATAATCTTGTTATGTTAATCTTATGGTTATACCACTTACAGTCTGCAATTTATGATTACACTATGAATTTGCTCTAAGAGGAAGAAGTTTACAAAGTAAAAGTAAACTTCAATGAAGCATTTTATAAGGTTTGTCAAAATAAGTGAGATTTTATTGTACAAACCAGAAAAATATAAGTTTCATTTTACCCAGAATTGTGGATGTGTTTTTAGGTGAATACTTGTAATGAAGTTTATGAATTAAAGAAGAAAGTCATAGAAAGGCTGGAGGTAAGATTTCAGTTACACAATTCAAACAATGATAAAATCAGATAATTTATGTCTAAATACAGGGGTCATTCATTGCCTAGAATATGACGGTGCACCACATACTAGTCTCTTTCTTTTTTATTTAATTTAATTTATTATTATTATTATTATTATTATTATTATTATTATACTTTAAGTTCTGGGTTACATATGCAGAACATGCAGGTTTGTTACATAGGTATACATGTCCCATGGTGGTTTGCTGCATCCATCAACCCGTCATCTACATTAGGTATTTCTGCTAATACCATCCCTCCCCTTGCCCTGCACCCCTCAACAGGCCCTGGTGTATGATGTACCCCTCCTTGTGTCCATGTGTTTTCATTGTTCAACTCCCACTTATGAGTGTGAACATGCAGTGTTTGGTTTTCTGTTCCTGTGTTAGTTTGTTGAGAATGATGGTTTCTAGTCTTATGGCCTTCCTCCTTCCCTTTGGCCTTCTGCTTGGGCCAACAGAACATTCACAATTCCAGTGTACTCCCAAGCTCTCACCCCTGTGCTACTTCTACTTCTCATCCTGCCTTCTAGTGCTTGCCCTTCGGGTCTACATATTACCCATTCTTCAAGGCTCAGCTCACAGGTCATCTCTTCATTGAGACCTCTCCTAATTTCCATTACCTCAAAAAATAACTCCATCTTTGAACTCCTCCCACAAGATCTTAGACATTGAGGTAAATGTGATTGGGCAAATGAGACAATGAAAGAATGAATGTATCAACCTGTCAGCTGCTCTGAGTCCAACTTATCCCAACTATCTTGAGTAGATGTCCCCATCACCAAACCTCAGACACTCTCCGTTCCCACACCCTATTTGTTTTCTCTTTAGTGTGTATCTTAACATGTAATATAGAATGTATGTATGTGTTTAGCTGTTTATCACTTGCCCCCAGCCCCTGTAATAGATTGTATTCTTTGTCTATTTTGTTAACACTGTATCCTAGAACCTGTTAGCAGTAATCACCCAATAAATATGCTTTGCATAGATGAACGAGTTGAGTAGAGGAATTTAGTACAAGGACATCTTCCTACATTAATAATCTAGTGGTTAAAGATTAGCATGTGGGTTTCATTTAGTTTTCTACCGTAGTGCTACCTTACACTGTGAATGTGTATGTCTGCTTCTATTCAAGATGCACCTGCCAATGATCTGTTCATGGGACCTATGTGTGATTTCTAATGTGGGCCCCCAAGGTGATCCAGAGGAAAAGCACTCAGCATTATCTATAGTAAGACTTGGAGACATTTAGAATTTTTTTAAGGTACTTGATTACTCTTTTTTTTCAGGACCTTTGCAAGAATGTGGAACTGCTGAGTGCAAAGCTAAGGATGTATCAAATGGAGGCAGAGGACACTGACTCTCACAGTTCTGAGGAAATAGATACGGAAGAGATGGAGGCCCTGCTTCCTCAGGCCCCAGCATCCTTTTTAGTGCAGAAGTCTCCTCCCCGCAATACAGCATGGTAAGTCAGAGCAAGAGGCCATTCAGGGCTGGATGACTGCCCCAAAATGTATGGATTATGCTGGGATTGATTTTTTTCAAGTGTTGACTAAAATGTTTTGTTTTATTTTCGTTTGTAAATTATCTATGTTCTTTAAAAGTCATTGGAGTTCATTGGAGTCATGGGATTTTTCTTATTTAGATAAAGATCTATTGCATTCGATATATATAGATTGCTTTCTTACTGCTTCAGATAAATCTAAAGATTTATCTTTAGATAAATATATCTAAATATAGATAGATATATCTTCATGATCAAAGATATATGACCAAAGACCTCTTGTGGGTGGCTATTAATGTTAATTATATTTTTAGTTAGTCTGTTCCTTTTTGCCTGAAAACTCTTCCAAACAACATTAAGTCAACACTTTAATTTTAAATTTTCTTCCATGATGGCTGCAAATACAGAGAAGCTTCTCTATACATTTCTATAGATATATAAAGATTTGTCTATGTATAGAGAGATATAGATTTATTTCTATCTACATATCTATAGATGTATCTATAAAATCTATCTATATCTATCTAAAATCTTAAAAGATGGTATCTATACATGATGAGGCAACCACCTCCACTCTTATCAGTTATGTTCTTTTCATAAGAAATTTGAAAAGTTTTGTTTGCTGTGCAGGATGCCTTACCCTTGGATGGTATTGGAAACACACTACCAGCAAATTCTGGCTCTTTGGATCCTGTCCAGGAGATGCCACACCATCATTTACACCCTGAGAAGTAATTTCCTCTAAGAAAACATTTTTGATTCTTTATCTCCAACCACCAACCCAGGTAGAATCTCAGCTCTGTCTTCAATCAAGTCCTTTGCCCATTTTAAAGAATTGGGTTGTTCTTTTATTTTTTGCTGTTGAGTTGTAAAAGTTTATGTGCACACCTTGCACATAATCCTGTCGGACAGCCCATGGCATGTTATTGAAATTAAATTGTTTCACATCTGTCTTCTCCTAATACTCCAAGGGATACACAAAAGCATGAATCTTATCTTCGTAATTTGGGGACTTGACGTATACAAGATGCTCATAATGCTCAAACAGATGTGTGCAGGCCACCTCATGTTGACCATCATAGGAGAGAGCATGTGCTGCCTCTTTGAATTTGCAGGATACGAGGTGCTTAGGTTAAACCATGTAGGAGATTGGGGGACCCAGTTTGACATGCATATTCCTCACCTGCAAGATAAATTTCCAGCTTGTCTAACAGTTTCACCTCCTATTGGAAATCTTCAGGCCTTTTGTAAGGAATCTAAGAGGTTTGATACTGAGGAGGAATTTAAGAAATGAGCATATCAGTGTCACATTCTGTTCCAGAGTAAAAATCCAGATATTATAAAAACTTGAAAGTTTATCTGTGATATCTCCTGCCAATAGTTTAGTAAAATCTATGATGCTCTGGACATCTCTTTAATAGATAAAGAATAATTCTTCTGTCAAGATAGGATGAATGATGTAAAGGAATTTGATGATAGATGATTTGTGCAAGTGGATGATGGCAGAAAGTTTGTGTTGGTCCCAGGATGTTCCATACCATTAACCATGGTAAAATCAGATGGAGGCTGGGTGTGGTAGCTCATGCCTATAATCCAAGCACTTCGGGAGCCTGAGGCAGGTGGATCACTTGAGCCCCAGGAGTTTGAGACCAGCCTGGGCAACAAGGTGAAAACTTGTATCTACAAAAAAAAAAATTCAGTGACACATGCCTGTAGTTTTACCTACTGGGGAGGCTGAGGTGGGACTATCACCTGAGCCCAGGGAAGTCGAGGTTGTGGTGAGCCTGGAGATCGTGTCACTGCACTCCAGTTTGGGTAACAGAGTGAGACCTGGTCTCAAAAAAAAAAAAAAAAAATCAGATGGAGGTTATAACTATGATGCATCTGATCTGGCTGCTCTTAAGCAAAAACTATTTGAGGAGAAAGAAGATATGGTTATCTCTGGGTGAACAGTGGACAATCTCTGCACTTCCAAAAAATATTTGCTGCTGCTCAAAAGATTGGTTGGTATGATCCTAAAGTAACTAGAGTCTCCCGTGCTGGATTTGGTGTGTTGCTAGGGGAAGACAAGAAGTTTAATATATGTTCAGATGAAACAGTTCATCTCGTAGACCTGGAATAAGGACTAAAGTGATCCATGGACAAATTGAAGGAAAAAGAAAGAAGCAAGGTCTTAACTGCAGAGGAATTGAGTGCTGCTTAGACATCTGTTGCTTATGGCTGTATCAAATAAACTGAACTTTCCCATAACCGGTTGAGTGACAACATCTTCTCGTTTGACAAAATGCTAGATGACAGAGGAAATACAGCTGCTTACTTTTTGTGTGGTTTCACTAGAACCAGGTCTATTGCACATCTGGCCAGTATCAATGATCAGATGCTCCAAAAAGCTGCTTGACAGACCAAGATTATTTTGCACCATGAGAAAGAATGGAAACTAGGCCATGGCATTTTATGGCTCCCTGAGATACAACAAAAGATTTTAGATGACTTACTTCTGGTTCTTGTGGTTCTATATATGAGCTGGCAGCTACTTTCACAGAGTTCTATGATAGCTGCTATTGTGTGGAGAAAGATCGACAAGAGTGGAGAGATATTGAAGGTGAACATGTGGTGTACGCTGCTGCGTGAAGCAGTAGATGCTGTCCTGGCTGAGGAGTTCAATATCCCGGGAATAAAACCTGTCCAAAGGATGTAATCCTGCTTAGGTTTGAACACTGTATGTTTTTACCACACTGGTCACTAGCATTGTTTGCTTTTTTTTTAAATAACCATTATATTAACACAAGAACGTTTGTCAACTGTGAAAAAAAAATAACTCTTACAACTCAACAACAAAAAGATAAACAACCCAGTTTGAAAAACAGGCAAATGACTTGGATACACATTTCTTCAAAGAAGACACACAAACGGTCAACAAGCACATGAAAAGATGTTCAGCATCATTGGTCATTAAAAAAAACGTAAATCAAACCCACAATGAACCACAGTGGGATACCACTTAACATCCACTAAGATGACTACAGTAAAAAAGACAGACAATAACTAGCATTGGAGAGGATGTGGAGAAATTGGAACCCTCGTATATCACTGGTGGGATTGCGAAATGGTACAACCACTTTTGAAAACAACTTGGCAGTTTCTAAAACGGTTAAATATAGAATTACCACATGATTCCACAAGTCTACTCTTGGGTATATACTCAAAAGAATTGAAAATGTCCACACAAAAACCTGTACACAAATGTTCATGGCAGCATTATTCATAATAGCCAAAAAGTAGAAACAATCCAAATGTCCGTTAACTGATGAATGGAAAAACAAAATGCAGTGTAGCCACACAATGAACTATTATTCAGCTGCAAAAAAGAATGATGTACTGATACATACCACAACATGATCTTAGAAAACATTGTGCTCAGTGAAAGACAGCCAGACACAGAGGGATATCCAAATGATTCCATCTATATGAATGTTCAAAGTAGGAAAATCCATATAGATTCAAAGTAGATTCATGGTTTCCAGGCACAGAGTGTTGGGGAATAGGGAGATGGTGACTGCTCCAGGGAATGGGGTTTCTTTTTGGGGTGACAAAAATTTCCTGGAATTAGATAGTGGTGATGGTTGTACAGCCTTGTGACTAAACCAAAAGCCTCTGGATTGTACAATGTATAGAGTGAATTTTATAGTATGTGACTAATAACTCCAAACCAACCAACCAGACAAATAAGTAAATAGGTGAATGCCTTTCACGTATCGCTTTATTGTGTTATATCGGAGGATTATAATCAGGCTGAGTTGCTCATCTTTTTCTCACATGATTACATTCTAATTAAGATTGCCTGAAATTTTGCCCATCTCTTGTTAAAGAACTGGAGATATATTGGTTTAACTACAGCATATTTATACACTAACATCTTGAGGAAGTTTGCCTTATGGATTAATTCAATCATTATGAATCGATTTTTGCTGGTTTTAGCTTCACAAGGTGGCCTTTTATTGATAATGTCCCCTAGTCCTTCCATTCCCTTTATGGTCATCCCCTATGTACTGACCATAAATAATGTGGAGATATTGGAAAAGATCAAAGGTTTTACACGTGGCAAGGTTTGAAAATTAAATAAATAGTATTCAAAAGTTAAAAGAATATTTTATTATTTACCAAAGATGTCTAAAATGAATAAAATTATTAGTGACACATTTTTTTGGTTCTGTACAGGTGATATGAGAAAACTTATTTCAATTTAGTTAACTATTTTTTTTTCCCAAAGAAAAATGTCTAGACCTTTTAAAATGAATATCATGCTTAGTAATAGAAAATTTAAATTTTTAAAACTTGTATTGACTTGTAAATAAAAATCAAATGATTCATTACTGTCAAGAAATAAATATGAATTTAACTGTACCAAG
Organism: Homo sapiens; assembly: GCF_000001405.40. Taxonomy (NCBI): domain Eukaryota; kingdom Metazoa; phylum Chordata; class Mammalia; order Primates; family Hominidae; genus Homo; species Homo sapiens. Next base: position 27,500,304 of record NC_000012.12, read on the forward strand.
AGTATTTACCGTAGGACAGAAAAAACTAGATGAGTATACTCTAAATGTAGGGAAAAAATTAAACTAAAAACTAAGACAAAATAAAAAGAATGAATGAATAAATGGAAGAAAGGAAAAAAGATAAAAAATGTGTCTGGTTATATTTGGGTGATGAGATTATAGTTTCCTCATTTCTCTGTTTTCCAAATTATCTTTGCTTTAGAAAATTTGTTTTACTTTCCAAAAACTTAATGTTAAAATGTGTTTCTTTGAAAATGTCATAGTTTAGTATTTCCAAAGATGACTGGTTTTTTAATTTAGGAGGAACAGTGTTTATTTACTAGATAGTTTTCGTAGTGAGTTGTTTTTCTTTTCATAAGAAAGAACAAATCTGCCTTTGGTGCTCCTTGAAGGCAGGACACATCTGCTTCCTGTTATCAGCTCTCTAAGCCCCTTCCTAATAGAGTATCTTAAGAACATTGGCTCTTTAATAAATGTGTGAAGTGAAAGCAATTATGTGTGTAACTGCCAAGTGATAGCCAGTGGGGATAATGGCGAGAAACTTGGCTCTGGTTTATAAAACCACTGAGTTAGGTCACAAAATCGATCCATGGCTAGCTTTAACTATGCTCTAGATTTTCTCTTCTGATGTATTATAGATGGTAATTATCTCAGGTAATTGGATGATCTATGACATTTCTTCTTTGTGTTCTTCTGGATTTTCTGCCCTAATCATATAATACATTTATAACTAGAAAATAATAATGCAAGGACTTAGAATCATATCAATAAAATATGTCATAGGTGCAACCCAGAAGGATGGGTCCTCAAGGATTTAAAAAAGCTTCTATTGGCCGGGCGCGGTGGCTCACGCCTGTAATCCCAGCACTTTGGGAGGCCGAGGCGGGCGGATCACGAGGTCAGGAGATCGAGACCATCCTGGCTAACACGGTGAAACCCCGTCTCTACTAAAAATACAAAAAATTAGCCGGGCGTGGTGGTGGGCGCCTGTAATCCCAGCTACTCGGGAGGCTGAGGCAGGAGAATGACATGAACCCAAGAGGCAGAGCTTGCAGTGAGCCGGGATAGCGCCACTGCAGTCCAGCTTGGGCGAAAGAGTGAGACTCCGTCTCAAAAAAAAAAAAAAAAAAAAAACAAACAAACAAAACAAAACAAAAAAAGCTTCTATTATTTTACAAATAAAAGTCTGGTGCCAGGACAAAAACTAGGGGCAAAGAGCTCTGAATTCCCTTTATCACGTTATACTTTGTGTCCTGGGGAAAATCTAACTGCCTGTGCCTTTGTTTGCTCAAAAAGAGACATCATATACATCATGAGTGAGGTAAAGATTGCAATAACCTGCTAGGATGTGAGAAGGACATTTCAAAGGAAAGAACCCCACACTATCCAGGGATTTTATTGTTTCATGGCTATAGGATCTTGAAATTCCAATGCCAGACCTAGCATGAACATAAATAAGTGCTCCTCCATTCCAAGCTGCTGCTTTTACAAATGTAAACTGAAGTCAAGAGAAAATTACTTAGTTGAAGTTTTAGAGCTACCTGGGTGGAGGTGCCAGGAGCCTATCAATGTGATTATTTTCAGAATTTGGTTAACACAGATGTTTTCTCTCTTTGTAGGAAACGTGCACTGAGGATTTTCATCATGTTTGATGTCCTCACCGTCACTGGACTTTTATGTTACATACTATTTTTTGGTGCTACATTTCTCTTTGAAAGGGTGCTTCTGAGAATGCTTGGGTGCCGCACCACATGGGACCTACGGGAGATGAGAGAGCCTTTCTTGAATTTGGAAGTGGAAGCCTTGTTACCCTCCTAAAGATACAGAAGTTACTGTCACCCTACTGACTTTCTCACCAGTAAACATTGTGGCTGTTCCTGTATTGTGGTGGCTAACTTATTTTTCAAAAAATAACGTACAAGGTTTTTGTAAAGAACGTTGTAATTACACAGAAGTTGATTGATCACGGAAAAAAAATGAAAACAGCTTATCTTTACCTTTATGAATCACAATCCCTTCTTGAATCATTCCACACTTTGTTGAAAACATTTTCTTCAAACCACTAACCTTCCTTCTCCCCCAACATGGGGTACATTGAGACCACAAAGTATTATCTCCCGTGGTTATCTTCTCCATTTTGACTTCTGTTGTCTCAAAAAAGAAAGCATAAAATTCTTTCCCCTCCACTGTATCCAATTTTACTTCAATTGAATTGGAGCCCTATTTTGGAGATAGTTGGCATTTCTTGGCTTTTCTCCTTAACATTTATTTCTTCTTTTGATAATAGCACCCGAAGTTTGCTTTGAAAGAACTATCCCCAGCGGGCCTAATTATAGGCGGTCTTTCAGTCAATGTCCCCTGTCTTCTTATTAATAAGAGCTGGAAAACTGTTGCATCAGACATTCTCTATAACTGAGAATTTTAAGAAGATTCACAAAATCAAAAGGAAATGATTAGAACTTTGATTTTGTAAACCACTCCGTATCTTTTTCTGCTTAAATTAGCCAGACTGGTTCTGTTGCTTACAATCAAAGGAAGTCTAACTGATACAATAGAGAATTTTGAATGTCAGACTAGAGTGTTTTATCCCTAACTTTGTAGCTAATGGGAAAATGCTAACATTTATTTTTAATATAAAAAAGTTATAATTAAAATGTGCAAAAGTAATATTAAATAGAACCATAAAGAATAAATTAGAGTAGGAGGGCAGATGGAGTGCAAGAGTAGTTAAAAAGCCATTCAGTGGTACAGGTGAGCCAAAGAGGTGGAGATGGAAATGCAAAGACCATGAATGAAGCAGACATTATGAGGTTGGATCTTAACGGTATTTGGTTGTGTAATGGACGTGGAGTTGGAAGGCTGGTGGCCAAGAGATATGCAATACGGTCCCAGTTCTCATATTTGACTGGATCTTGAAGGATGAATAATATTTTCATGGCAGAAATGACAAAAAGGCATTTCAGAGAAAAGAAAAACCATGAGTAAAATTTAGAAGCCAGGAATATAAAACAAAGTTAGGAAAGCTGGTACAGCATAGAGCTCACCATACCAGTTTGTACAGTCTTTAGAAACAAACACTATGCCTCATTCATGTTTCTGGTCTCTGGAATAGTGATTCCCAAATGCTGGCCCATTGATTAGATGCACTGGAATCTCTTGGGGAGCTTTATACATTAGAGACTTCCCCCATTCCCAGATATTTGGATTCAGTAGAGCTAATGCAGGATCCAGAAACTTTATTTATTTATTTGAGACAGAGTTTCACTCTTGTCACCCAGGCTGGAGTGCAGTGGTGCGATCTCAGCTCATTGCAACCTCCGCCTCCCATGTTCAAGCGATTTTCCTGCCTCAGCCTCCCAAGTAGCTGGGATTACAGGCACGCACCACCACGCCCAGCTAATTTTGTATTTTTAGTACAGACGGGGTTTCACCATGTTGGCCAGGCTGGTCTCAAACTCCTGACCTCAGGTGATCTGCCCTCCTCAGCCTCCCAAAGTGCTGGGATTACAGGCGTGAGCCACTGTGCCCGGCCCGGGAACTTTATTTTTAAAAATAAAAATCCAAATTGGGTAACCATGCCTTGGTACACTGTAGGAAAATGCGGTGCACATAGTTTGTATGGACTTGATAAATACCCGTTGAAGTAAATTAAACTATGTGGTTCTTATCTTTGCAGCCTCCCTATCACCTCACCTCAGTCCTATATTCAATATTTATCTGTTCAATAATTTCAATCACAGCCATTTTTCCAATGCCCCCATCTTCCCACACCCTTGAAATAATTTTCAACTCCTTTACTATCTTATTTTTGTGTTCTAGCAATCACTTGGCCATGCCAATTTCTTCTACAGATATTTTTCTTAGATCAGCCCTATTATTTGCATTTATTTAGTTAACATTTTTAATAGGTCTTACCATAGAGATGGATCACTGTTGGCCTAATCCAGCCTGTTGTTTCTACTTCCATGGATTGTCATTATGTACACAGCTGCTGAAAAGAATGGACTCCAATCATCACTTTTATCCTGATACTCTGTAGCCAGAAAACTGGGCGTATTGGTTGCTAGAAATATGCAATTTGTTTGCAAGTGGTTCTCAAGCTGTGATATTTAACAGAATTCCAAAAAGAGGCATTTAATTCTACATTTGTCTGAGCATCACCTCCAGAAGTTCTGATTCTTTAAATGTGGTATGAATCTCTGATATCCTCTATTTTAATAGATTCCCCTAACAATTCTTATAACTCAAAGTTTAAGAACACCATGCTCTATGGGCAAAAGGTACCTGGGATTACAAATTAGCTGAGATCCCATACAAGGTTAATCAAGGTTCTTTGGGAGCAGGGTGAAAGGGTGAGCGTAAAGGAATTTCCAGGACACACAGAAAGGCAAAGAGCCAAAAGCTCTGGGAGCAATGACTAACATATTCAAAAGGTCTTGTGATAGGGACTATGCTGACAGATCTTAAAAAGTCACAGTTATCTTGTTTACAGATACAAGGACTATTCAGACAAATTTATAGATAGAACTTGGTGTATGTTTTTTATAATCATCAGGTAAGTTCCCATAACTAGAAACAGTACTGGTTGATTTACCCGTAAATCCCAAAAAGAAGTAGTGAGTTCAATAAAGCTTAAAATCTTGTGATAGTCACATAACACTAAAGACAAAGTAAGTTAGAGGACTAGATTGTTTTAAAGAATAAATTAATATTTTACTAACTTCCAAGACATATTTGATTAGGATTTTGACTAAGATGGGATACTTTTCCCTGGGAGATGAATATCTTTGAAGTGGGAATGGTAATATTTTCACATCAATTTGTTTTCAATTCATCAGCATCTCAAGCTGGGAAGCTGGAAGTCACAGTACTCTATTGAGAGAGGGAAACATTTAGTAACATATGGAAATATTAAGAGGGTATGAATGTCTACGTGTGGTAACTCAGCTAACTGCTTTTGGTTGGTCAGGTCGGGTTTTATTTCAGATATTTTAATGCCATATTCAATTGAGCCAACTGCTGTACTCTAAACCATTTGCTAAAAATGTCTGAATCACTGCATAAATATGTTTTTGGTTTTGGACTAAGAGGAAAGAACATGAGTTTCACAAAATCTCCATTTGTCATGTTTTTAGGTGAAGACAGCTATGCTGTAGTGAAAGGAGCTTTGAACTTGGATTTAAAGTTGGGTTCAAGACATGATCCACTGTCAACTGTGTTTGGATGGGGTCAGCTAATCTCTCTCCCTGGAGGGGGATCCAAACAACCATTCCCCATCTGCTGAGAGTTCATAGCAAGACCCTACTTTGGACTTGGCCTTAGTCAAAGACAGTTGTCTAACCTAAGCTTCCTCTCCTTCCCTAAGGGTGGTCTGCATCCAATGCCTAACCCAGGGTACCTTTTTAGAGGGCCATCCTAGCCGCAGAGCTCCTGGTGGGGTCAGCTGAGGCCTCTAGTGCAATTGTATCACATTTCATCTCCATCTGCCCCATTCTGCTTCTACCATCCCCTCCACATTTGTCCACCCTGTGAGTGTCCCCCAGTAAACCTGTGTGCAAGTCTTTGTCTCAGAGTCCTTTTCCCAGAGAACATTACCTAAGACACTTGTGGAAATAAAGAACAGTCAAATGAGAACAAGCAGAGGCTATTTATTCAGAGCTTGCAATAACAAAGGAGTCCATCAGTTGCATTTTGGCAGAGACTCAAAGGCAGGCAGAGGAGTGGGAAAGCTTTAGAGTGGGAAAAAGGCAAGGTTGGATAAGCCCTGATTGGGACATCCCAGGTGATTGATTAGGGGGTGCATATTTGACTTTCTCTAGTTGATCCTATGTTGGAAGCAGGGACAAAAATTAGGGGAGCTGCCAGTTATTTCTCACGATTTTGTTTACTCATATATAAATTGAGAAAAATAATACCTGCCTCATGAGATTGCTGGATTAAAGAGCCTGATGTTTAATAGGTTTTGAGTATTATTATTATTACCATGAATAATATTTTTAAACGTGTGAGATTGCCTTAATTAAGAACTTTGGGTTTGACCTAATAGTGAAGAAATGAATTTGAACACACTTCCTGATATATCTTAAAGTAAAAATAAGTGAACAACAAGCCATGAAGTCTTGCTTGACTCCTTCCTTTTTCATATTCCACTCTCAGTCTGTCAGGAAATCTTGTTGCTTAAAACACATGCAGAATTCAACTGCTACTCACCACCTCCCTGATAGCAACCACCTTTGCATGTCACCATTGTTGCAAAAACCAACCAACTTGCTCTCGTTCTCCTGATTCCACCCTTGCCCACATACAATTCAGCAGTCAGAGTGACACTCTTTTATAATGCAGGTCAAATCATGTCACCTTTCTGCTCCAAACCCCTTCAGTGGTTTTCCATTTCTTTCAAAGTAAATGCCAAAGTCCTTTCAACTACTTGTATTTGGCCACTGCCTTCTGTTGGCTCAAGCCTCATCCTATTCTACTTGTCCTCTCGATCACGCTTCTCAAGTTCCACTGTTCATCTTGGTGTTCCTGGAACACATCAGGCACACTCTGGTCACCAGGGCTTTGCCTGGGCCAGCCCCTCTGCCTGGAAGTCTCTTCTCCATGGCTTACTCCCACAGTACTTTCAAATCTTGGCTCAAAGGTTATCTTCTTGGCTGTAATAAAAAAGACAGATAATACTAAGTGTTGGTGAGGATGTGTAGAAATTAGAATCCTATTATATTGCTGGTGGGAATGTAAATAATACAGCCACTGTGGAAAACACTTACTCAAAAAATTAAACATAGAGTTACCATATACCTTCAGCAATTCCATGCCTAGGTATATATCCAAAAGAATTGAAAATATATATCCACATAAAAACTTGTATGTGAATGTTCATAGCAGCAGCATTCATAATAGTCAAAAAGTACAAACCAAATATCCATCAACTGATGAATAGATAAACAAAATGTGGTGTACTGATACAATAGAGTTATTATTCAACCACAAAACAGAATGAGGTATTGATACATGCTACAACCTGGGTGACCTTGGAAAACATTATGTAAAGTGAAAGAAACCAGACACAAAATTCTACAGATTGAGTGATTCCATTTATATAAAGTGTCTGGAATATGCAAATCCACAGAGACAAGGCAGAAGAATGGCTGTCAGAGGTCGGGAAGAGTGACTACAAATTGGTTTGGAGTGTCTTTTTGGAATGATGAACATATTCTGAAATTTCATGCTGTTGATGGTTGTACAACATTGTGACTACACTAAAAACCACAGAATTGTACACTTTAAAATAGTGAATTTTAAAATGCCGTCTTCTTAATGAGGCTCGTATAACCATCATGTTTAAAATTGCATTCCTCCCATCCCCATCCCACCTCTCCCAAACCTGCCCTGTTCTATTTTTTGTCATGACTTCTACCATAATATATAATTTACTTATTAGGTTTATTGTTTATCTGTCTCTTTCCATGAAAATGTAAGCTCCACAAAAGCATAGACTAAACTAGGACTATATAGACATCACATTATATACAAAATATCCGAAAACATGTCTGAATGCTAAAAGGCTAAAGAGGAAAAGGAATAAGTTGTACCCAGGATGAGGGGGTCAAGGTTTAAAAGGGGTAGGTAACCAGGAGGGAGGAAATGGGCTAGATATACACATAACAATAATATGTAATAACTAACAACAGTCATGTTGTTTTAAAAACATTAGTATGTTTCATGCACTGTGTTAAGTACTTCATGCACATTTTATGATTTAATCCTCACAATTATTTTATAAGCCAGGTATTATCATTATCCCCATTTTTATACATGAGAGAATTGAGGCACAGAGGATAGTAACTTGTTTAGAGTCCCACTGTAAAAGGTAGCATCAGGATTTGAATCTAGATTTATCTGGCTGCAATATCTGTGTCCTTTTCAAGTGACATGCAGCCTCCCCAAATTGGATTGTACGTTCTATGAAAGCAGGAACAATGCCATGTTAAGCCCTGCATATTTAGCATATAGCACACTACTTAGAAGATAGTAAATGTTCACAAAATATTTGTGAATGACCAGCTGGGAATGAAGGCAGGTGCATGTAGTCCTAGCTACTCAGAAGGCTGAGGTGAGAGGCTCGTTTAAGCCTAGGAGTTCGAGGCTGCAGTGAGCTATGATTGTGCCACTGCACTCCAGACTCAGTGACAGAGTGAGATCCTGTCTCTAAAACAAGCAAGCAAACAAAAATTATTAATGAATCAATGAACTAACATTTATTCAATATCAAGTGCAGCTTTCACCAGTGCTACAGGTTTTGGAAACCACCTGCAACCCTGGCCATCTCTGGCATCATCTCTGCCACTGACCACTGTTCCCAGAAGCAATATAGATGCAAAGGTCATTGACATAGTCAAGGAACGGCCAATGGCCTCACTCTCCACCCAGCTTGGATGTGAGCTACTTCAGGGGCTACAACGTTTTCTGCTTTCTCCACTTCATCCCCAAACTGAATCTTCTCTTCAAGCCTAAAGTCCAGTTACTTTTTCTAGTACTGAAGGCCTCTCCATTCCAGAGCATTATGTTGGCTTCCTTTCCCACCTTCTGGGTAGGAGCTCACACTGCCTGTCCCAATAGCTTCTGGCTGGTGAGACTGCCATATGCTCAAAAATCAGATTTTGTCTCATGACTTTTTCCCTTTGGAAGGGCTTTTGCTGCATGTGTTGATAAACAAGCAAAGCAAGTGGTTGCAGTAACTTCTATAAAAGTAGAGGTTTAACAGTTGAGATGCTTTTATCTGTAACAGGATACCTAAATTATATTGGATTAAAGAATAAGGACACTTATTATCTCATGTGGCAAAATATCCACAGCGAGGGTGGTTCCAGGGTTGGTTAGTTGAGCAGCTCAATGGTGTCATTGCTCTGAGTCACCATTTCTTCCATTCTCTTGGCTCTCCCGTCATAGTCCCAAGGTGGCTGCCGTGGCTCCAAACATTTTTATGCAACAGAAGGAAAGAGTGGGAGAAAATCTTTTCCCAGAAGCTCCAGGCTGACTTCCTCCTGGGAACCACCTGATCAGACTAGATTACAGGCCCCAACAAACGAATAACCAGGACTGATCTGCCTCTTTTCCCCCTCCACTGCACCTGTGAGCTGAAGCACAACAAATGCTCATGCTGCTCAGTTGCCACCAAATAACTCGTTCTTCTAGAGAAATCAAGTACACACAAAAAGTGAACAGTCTTCTCTGGATGGTAGGATTGTAAGTGACTTTTCTTCTTCAGAAAAATTTATGCAGTGAATGTTTTAACTTTATTTATTTATTTTGAGACAGGGTCTCACTCTGTTGCCCAGGCTGGAGTGCAGTGGCATGATCATGTCTCATCGCAACCTTGACTTCCCAGGCTCAAGTGATCCCTCCCAACTCAGCCTCCCAGGCTCAAGCGATCCCTCCCACCTCAGCCTCCTGTGTAGCTGGGACCTCAGGCACATATCACCATGCTTGGCACATTGTTAACATTTGTTTTAGAGATTAGGTCTCACTATGTTGCCCAGACTGGTCTCGAACTCCTGGGCTTTAGTGGTCCACCTGCGTTGGCCTCCCAAAGTGCTAGAATTACAAACATGAGCCATCATGTCAGGCTTAACTTTTTAAAAGCCTTTGTATTAAAAAGTATTCTTACAATTAACAGAAAATTTGCAAGACTAGAATGAGAAATTCCCATATACACTTTATGTAGATTCACCAATATTTAACATTTACCACATTTGCTAAATTAATTTCCCTGTCTCTATAATTTTTCCTGAGTCATTTGAAAGTCTGCATATATCATTCTCTCTCTCTCTCTCTTTCTCTTTTTTTAAAGACAGGGTCTCACTCTGTCACCCAGGCTGGAGTGCAGTGGTGCAATCATGGCTTACTGCAGCTTCTACCTCCTGGGCTCAAGCAATCCTCTTGCCTCAGCCTCCTGAGTAGCTAGGACTACAGGTCACCACACTGGGCTAATTTTCTTTTCTTTTCTATTATTTTTCTGTTTTTTTCTTTTCTATTTTCTATTTTTTCTATTTTTTATTTTTCTATACAGGGTCTTGCTATGTTGCCATTCTCTTTTCTTTATAATACTTGGAAGTGTATATCCTAAGAACAAAAAATACTCTCTTACAGATCAATGATATGGCTGTAAAATTTAGGAAATTTAACATTGATACATTACTTTAGTCTACCACCTACATTCTAATTTTGTCAATTGTTCCAATGCTGTCTTTATAGAAATTCTTTCCCATGTAGGATCTAGTTTAGGATCTTGTATTAGGAATCTTGTCAAGTCTTTGTAATGTCCTTTTATCTGGATGACTTTCTCAACCTTTCTTTGTCTTTCATGCCCTTGACATGTTCTAACAGTAGGGCCAATTATTTTCCAGAATGTCTATCAGTTTGGGTTTGTTTGATGCTTATTCAGGATTAGATTCAGATTATGCATTTTTGGCCAGAATGTTACCTAAGTGGTGTTGAGTTCTTTTCAGGATATCATCTCCGGAAGTATACAAAGTCCATCTGCCCCTCATTGGTGATGTTAATTTTGATCACCTGGTCAAGGTATTGTCTGGTTTCCCCACTGATGTACAATGTTTTAATCATAAGGGAAAATTATTTTAAAGTAATGTATTATAAAATATCACATTACAATAACTGGGAACTGAATTTAAATGAAAAATTGTATGTCATGCTCTCCTGTTTGTACAAAGAACACTTACTACACCCCACTGGTCGCACCAAACTTGAGAGATAAATAGGATTTGAAAGCATCATGTTGCAGAAAAGAAACTAAGGTTTGGAGAGGTAAAGTCAGTTGCCCAACGTTTGTGCCAGAGCCAGGACTAGGACCAGAATATTCTCTCCCTGATCTGCCACCCTTCGCCCTCCACTCAAAAGCCACAGCGTAACAAATGCTTCTCCCTGCTCAGCTGTCACCCAAGAACTCTTCAAAAGAAATTCCTTCCTTCCCTTCCTTGTCACTTAATATAATTGTACGATTCCAAGTCTTCAGTTCCAGACTCCAGATCTGTTCACATTAAAATGCAATCCAGGTCCAAACTAGAAGTGAGTTTCCTGTTTTATCATTTAAATGAGTTACCTTAAGCCTTGGTTATCTCAGCAAACTTTCTTCTCACTGCTGACTGGTCATACTTGGAGCCAGCCAAAAATGAGATAAAGAGGCTAGGATACAGTATGCTGGATTCATTCCACAGAGGTGTCTTTGTATGCTTGTGAGTAGAAGAGTAATGATGTTTTTTTTTCCTGGCTGGAAACAGAATCAACTGTGCTATTTTGAAATCTACCAAAGGCAGACAGCCCAAGAACCTATAATTGCAGAGAGACACAGTTTTTTCTGGCATCCGTGTCTGTGTGTGTAGGTTGTGAAAAGCAATACTGGCCTAGCAGTAGATTTAGCATCAAGCGAGCTGAGATTTAGTCCCAGGACTGTCACTAACATATTCCCTGTATTGCCATTTTGTTCACAATAGCAAGTAGTGACCTTTCTGTGCCTCTGCTTCTCCAACCAGTGATAAGAAGAGTTGCTCTTACATATGCACACTGGTATTTCATGAAGACAAATAGAACATAGTGAAGGGAAAAAAGCGTACTGGTTCTTCCACTTAGTGGCTGTGGGTTATGAGCAGAATTTTGTCACTGTCAAATTCATATGTGGAAGTCCTAACCCCTGGTACGTGAATGTATTTGGAGATAGGGTCTTTAAAGAGGTAATTAATTAAATTTTTTTATTTTTTATTTTTATTTTTAAGATGTTTGATTTATTTTTAATAACCCTTCATTGTATATTTTATATGCTCTCAAGTTACAGAAAACTGCAAAGCTGAAATTCAACATCGGCTAGTGTCAAATGATTCCTTTTTAAAAAAAAGATTTTGGTTTTAGGAGTGAAACAAATGGATCATGGAGAATGAATGCAGTAGATCATTACACAAGTGATCAGTCAGCATCTTTGCCTCCACATTAAGGTTACTGAATGAATAGCTCAGATTTATAATATCTGAATTTCATGCCGGCATAAAACCCACAACCTTGACTAAGTTATCATAAGACATTAGGAAGAAAGTATGGTGATAATAATCCATCCAAATGCTACATAAATGGAAACACTGTGAGAAAGTTGGCTGAGCACCTGAATAATCTAATTCATAATGTCTCCAAAAAACCATACAATGATTTAGGGGAAATAATGAATGAAAATAAAGACATATATAATTTAAGATATGTATGTGTCATATGTATTTCAGTCTTTAGCCTTAAACAGTGTGTTAACTTGCCTAGATAATTGTCCACTAAAAGATAAAATATTCTGATTTTTTTCTGCTACTGTTGGAGACATTCTTATACAGTTTCATTAAAGTTATTAATTTTGAAAATGTACCTTTCTCATATTTTTCTAAAGAAATTTCTGATGGAGTGAAATTATATTAACTTTCAAGGTAGACAAACCAGCCCTATGACATACTAGCTACATTGACTTGAGTAAGTTTTTTTTTATTCTTTATTTTTGTTTTCCATTTTTATTACAAACAATTATGAAATGACAACTAAAGAGGTAATTAATTTAAAATGAAGCCAAGAGGGTGGGCCTTCATCCCAAAGACCATGTGAAGTGACAGAGAGAAGGTAGCTATCCACTAGACAAGAAGAGAGGCTTCAGAAGAAGGTACCACCTGCGTTGACACTGATGTTGGCCTGCTGGCCTTCAGAGCCATGAGAATATATATTTCTGTTGTTTATGGCACCTGACCTGTGGGACTTTGTTATGATAACCCAAGCAAACTAATCCAGGGACCCCAGGAAAGTTACTTAACCCTTCTAGGCAGGATAAGTGACATAATTTTCAGGGTCCAGCATAAATGAAAATGTGGGTTCCCTTGTTTAAAAGTTTCTAAGAATTTCAAGACAGCAACAGTCAAGCATTAAACCAAGTATGGGGACCACTCTAAGCAGCCCTGTGCAACTGCACGTGTTACCCACCCATGGAGCCGATTCTGGTTCTAGGCCTCAGCTTTGTCATCTGGAAAGTGGGGGTAATAATTGCACTTACTTTTAGGGCTGTTGGGAAGATTAAATCAGATTCTAGGACGAAGCTTTCAGAGTACATGAAAGGGCAACCCAGAAAGGTGTTCAAAGTTTGACATTAATTGTCGTGCCTGGGTTGAGTTCCAGGATCACAAGAAAGAATAGTTTGTTTTCTTTTTCGCCATTTACGGTCAATGAGCCATTAGTCAGTGGGAAGAGAGAGTGGAGATGGGGAGGAGAGAGCATGGATATTTTAAAGCTGAGAGATTCTGCTGGGGCGAACAATGCAGATTGTTTGATGATTTGCTTGTTTATAGTCTGAGGGTCTCTGCTCCAGGGCAAGTGACTTTTTTCTTCTCCTCCTTCTCTCTTGCCTGCTACCCAGGAAGTATGCTCCACTGCAAGTGGCATTTGGACTCCAGAGCATCTGTGTTGTTGCCTGACTTTCTGACAAAAGTGTTATTATTTCCACACATATGACCCTTTTATTCTATAAATAAATAAAGCTTTAGAAGTCAACCGAACACAACCCTGATGTCTAAAATAGGATAGAATAAATAAAGCTGATCCTTATAAGATTAATCCACATTAGAAGGTAAAGAAAGCCAGAGGATTCTGAGTGACATTTTGAAAGGAGGCAATTATTTTATTTGACATATTTATTATCTTCTAAAATAATTTAGACACCAGGAGTTTGAATGGATTAGAATAAAACTCCCAACATGAAAGCTTTTCCAAACAATAATATTATATGGCAATAATCTTTAGTATAAGACAAAGTTCTAACTGAATCTTCTGCTGGTATTTTGGTAGATTTCATAGCATAGTGAACAGAAGAAATCTTAGCAGTTCTTCTTTGCAATTCAACCTCTCCCAAAGGGGGCTGAATCTAGGGTCCAAATCTTTTCCTTCTTAACATGATGATGTGTAGCCACCCCAGAACAATTGGGTTCAACTTTTATGTAACAAAGCTGTGAGCTGTTTTTCTGTCTCAACAGATGTCAGGTCATGTAACCAGAGCATGCCCAGATGAACTAAATGTGCAACAACAGAGTGAACTTAAATGCTCAGAAGGAGGATTGGAGACTGAATTAAGAAGTAGACACCTCACGGCCGGATGCAGGATCCAATCAAATCGAGTTCTGGTGTCCCGATGGCAGGAAGCAGTCAGATCATGCCTCCCGACATTACCTCATTGCAAGATCCAATCAGATCACACCTCATTACCCTATGGTTATAAAACCTGGCTCAGCCCCCAGCTAAGAGAGTCAATGCTTTGGGAACTAGTCCTGTTCTCCTTATGTGTTACATTAATTTTTAAAATCCCCTTGTTAAATCCTCCTTGGTTGTGGTCATTGGGTTAACACCTGCCCAGTGACCAAATCTACCTGTTGTGTGGGTAACAGATGGAATCACTAAGTCACGATATCCATTGATTGCCCTTTTGATAGGAAAGCTCAGAACTTTACAAACCAGTCCTATAAGAAGCAGCATCTTTCCTTATACTACTGGTTACTCTCATAAATGTAACTCAATAAAAGTGAAATAGGGTTGATTGAGGGAAGTTTTTTGTTTGTTTGTTTTGAGACGGAGTCTCACTCTGTTGCCCAGGCTGGAGTGCAATGGCATGATCTCAGTTCACTGCAACCTCCGCCTCCTGGGTTCAAGCGATTCTCCTGCCTCAGCCTCTTGAGTACAGGCGTGCGCCATCGCGCCTGGCTAATTTTTGTATTTTTAGTAGAGACGGGGTTTCACCATGTTGGTCAGGCTGGTCAGGCCGGCCTCAAACTACTGACCTCGTGATCCGCACGCCTTGGCCTCCCAAAGTGTTGGGATTACAGGCGTGAGCCACCGTGCCCGGCCTGTTTTTTTGTTTTTGTTTTGATTTTAGTAACATGAGATATGCTATGTCCTGACTCTGTTCTCATTATAGTTAAAATAAATAAATCTAAACTCCTTCAAGACCCTAAGTGATCTGGCTGCTGATATGAGAGTCTGTAGAAAGATAAAACAATATTCAAGCTTCTTTTCTTTTGGCCCTTTGTTCATTGCCCTTGTAATCATAGCTTCTTCATGCTAGTTGCTTAGGGAAGGAATGAAGTAGAACAGGGCCATGTAATTAATATAATGATATTTAATTAATATGCAATGATAATTATATGTTGTAAACTAATACATTCTAAAATTCCCACAATGTGTGACAAAAATATACCACCAAGACAGACTGAGGTTGACCTAAAGTAATGTCACAATGTAATATGATTTAGAGGCAAACTTAATCTTGATCACCAGATTATACATTAAGAACTTTCACCTCGCTTCAGAATAAAACACTTCACTTTGTCTGCTCTATTTTTTTCAGGGAAGGTAAAATGCTCTCACATTTATTATCTCGTTTAAAGTCACGGCATTCCTTAAGCGCTTTCAAGTCGTAAGGCATTAAAAGTATTCAGATTACCTCAGGTGATAGAAATTTAGTGTGAGACTACCTGAGGAAGGGAGGAAATGCAGGAAAACCACTGAACCGTCAAGCCTCATGAGAACTGGAGCACAGTCCGGGATTCAAGAGTGAATCTACTAGTCTATTATTCTTACGGCTGAGCTTCTCTCTCAGCACAGACTGTACTGCCAAACTCGGTTGTATTATGCTACTTCCTAGTTATGTGACCATGGACAAGTTACTTAAGCTCTCTGTGGCTTGGTTTTCTCATCTGCAAAGTGGAAACAGGGTTGAAGGTAATATATTTAAAGGCATTTAAAATACAGTTCGAGTCTCCCTTATCTGAACTGCTTGGGACCAGAAGTGTTTAGGATTTCAATTTTTTTTTTTTTTTTCAGATTTTGGAATATTTGGATTTTACTTACAGGTTCTTATAAGTAACTTGCCAGCATCCCTAATCTAAAAATCTGAAATCCGAATTGCTCCAATGGACATTTCCTTTGAGCGTCGTGTTGGCACTCAAAATTTCAGATTTTGGAGCATTTTGAATTTCAGATTTTCAGATTAGAAATGCTCAACCTGTAGTACCTGATACACAAAAATCGGCATGTGTTCACTATCATCATTACCATTTTAATTATTGCTGTCCTATTTTTGATTCCTTCAGTAGCTAGCGTCCACCACCCCTGTGGCATCCACCACCTCATGGCTCCTGACTACTGCTTTTTCTAGGTGTGACTCTCAGCACATGCCACCCTTTTCTGCTTTATGTTTTACTTCAGCTCCTGTCTACTTTCTTCTGATTTCATCTTCTAGACCTCATGCTTCTACTTACTATTCTGTGCATGACCTGTATTCATTCTGTTTATGACCTTTATTCCATGTGCCTCCTTGCTTCTGCTCTACTCTATGGTCTGGTTTTCTAGACATATTCAATGTGTCATATTAAATGTCTTGAGGGAAGATATACATGGCCCCGTTAGTGGGTGTTCAGTACAGATCTCTGCTGAACAGTTCCTGTGCCTGTTTGCCCCAGGCCATTGACAAGTTTATACCTGGCTGTCTTCATTCAGGTGGGAATCCATGCTTCAATCAGTGCTATTGAAGTGTCGTAGGAAGGTTGCCGAGGAATCCTGGGTATACAGAGCCATTTCGGACTCTCAGAAGGAAGTTGTGGAGTTAGCAGCATCAGAGTTTCATGGAACACCCTTTTTTAGTTTGTTTGCATTAATGACATCCCAATCACAGATGAAGAAACTGAAGCTCAAAACTGTCAAATGATGCTGGGTCTTATAACTCAGAGCACACACTTAACTAATTTTACCAAAGAAGAGGTGATATTTCTTACACTTTCTTTTATTCAGAAATGGGTGATGACCTTTTTTCAGAAATGAATGTAAAAGGCACTAATATGGCTATTACATTATGTATAATTCAGAATTCAAGCCGTTTAGGATCGAATGGAAATTAAAGTGAAATAAGATTAAGAGGTTTAAAGCCTTTAAAAGACGGACATACTGGCTGGGCACGGTGGCTCATGCCTGTAATCCCAGCACTTTGGGAGGCCCAGGTGGGCAAATCATGAGGTCTGGAGTTCGAGACCAGCCTGACCAACATGGTGACACCCATCTCTACTAAAAATACAAAAAATTAGCTGGGTGTGGTGGTGGGTGCCTGTAACCCCAGCTACTCAGAAGGCTGAGGCAGGAGAATTGCTTGAATCTGGGAGGCGGAGGTTGCAGTGAGCCGAGATCACGTCACTGCACTCTAGCCCAGGTGACAGTGCGAGACACTGTCTCAAAGAAAAAAAAAAAAAGACAGACATACTAAAGTGATAGTTGGGATCCTTTCCCATTGCTTCCTTAATACCCTGGCTAGTTTAACAAACCACAGTACTGATTATCTGGCAATTCAGATGTTGCACAGTCAGCATCCTTCAGTGGAAAGGAATTTCTGAAGATAGACTCTGGAAGAGCAAGGGAAAGTAGCAGAGAATCTAATTTTTATGGGACTTGGGAGATAGATGCTATATCCTGAAGATTTATCAGCAACTTGTTTCAACATGCCAGGAAAATTTCTTCAATGAAAGCATTTGTTTAAGCCAATTTTTCCATCATCATCTTACATCTGTTTTAGCTAAAATTTATTTCTCTTAGTCTTCTTTGACAGAAGTGTCTGGGTTAAAGTTAACCTGCCATTTTAAAATGTAAGTTCTAGTTAAGTAAAAGAATTCTAGTTAAATATTAGGAAAGACTAAACAGACAATAAATTAATGATTGTTTAGGTGACAGGTGAGTGAAGTAGAAATTAATGGATCAGTCTGAAGCCTCGGAATTGTATATATGGCACTGGTCCAGGGAATGTCAAGTTGGGTAAATTTTGATCAGTAGTGAGCCACGACGTATTATTTTAAAACTGAGCCCTATTTAATATTGTGGCAGGTGGAAATCAAGGGGGGACTTACTGGTTTTGAGTAATGCTCTGTTGTTACTGGGCGTGTTCCTAAGACGTTGAAGAGGCCAATGCACAGTGCATGTTGATAGGAAGGATGGCGGGGCTCTCCCACCCAAAGGCTTGACAGCTGTAGAAAGGCTTGGGCTGCTTGGGGCAAACATTATGCAGATCACCTACATGCAATGAAAAACAGGAATTGCTCCTGTGTATTGAAAAGGCTGGCTCCCTATCTTGTTGACCTGTCTCAGAATACAGAAACCAGACATACTTTTTAGGAGATTCAATTAAGGAAGTTTGTAATGAGGTTAATTGTTGAAGAGAATGTAATTTGTTTAGTTTAGTCATTCGTTGAACATTAATCAAAGACCATGAAAACCAATTATCCTTATTTTTAATTAAAATTTTTCAACTTATAAATAGACTAATAAAATGAGTAAGTTGAATGTAACTAGATTTTTAGATGTATCTGGTGGGTAACCAGAGAATAACCAGCACAATTGGGTTGTAAGGAAAAAGTGATTAAAATAAGACTCCCCACTTGGAGCAAGATATTGTGCCTATTTCTAACCTGTCTCTATGGGCAAGAAGGGAATGGGGAGGAGGGTTGGATTCAGAAATGATGTCAATGGTGATAGCTAGGTAGTGGCTTAGTATTCAATGAAAGGATATTAAAATAACGTCTGGATTATCACCAATGCCACGCTTAGGATCAGACAGAATAAGCAGTAATTTCCTTTAGAAGGAATTCTAAAGCTAAGCTTGTTTGATTTGGATTTGGGTTCATGATTTATACCATGTGTTTAACCCACTCTGTGTTTGGCAGTGTGACTGGGATAACAACAACTGGAGGCACCCAGATCCTTTGTGATCAGTCTGGTCAAGTTATTCCTGAACTTCTGAAGACCTAGACCATAGCAGGTTATGAGTTTCAAGCAAAAGACAGCATTCATTCACTTATTCATTCAGTGAATATTTAATCAATGTCTATGGGACAAAACATGGTTCTAGATCCTACAAAGGATGTAAAGATGAAATAAATTAGCATTCTGTTCTTGAGGACTGTAAGAAACTTGGAGCCAGAAAGGAACATAAGGCACCTATAAAAATTATAGTACAATTGTTTTATGTTGTAGGAAAAAGGAAAATATGTTTGCTTATCACCTATGATGTGTCAGGCAAGGTGCTCTGTCATCTTGCATATGACATCTTGTCAGATCCTTGCAACAACACTGTGAGGTAGATTTTTGTAGAAACAGGCAAAAATCACAGTGAGGATGTATTATTAGGAAATATGGGTGCAAAGTCATGCAGTGCATGCAGTGTGGGCATATGAAGAAGAGTCGAAAATAAGTTCAGAAAGGTAAGTTGGGGGCAAGGATGTGAAGGCTTTTGGACACCAGTCAAGAAAGTTTGATGAGTTTTGTTCCTTGGTAAAGGGAGACTCATTTAAGTGTTTAGAGTCAGGAGTGATCAGGGTTGTGCTTTAGAGAGCTGCAGCTGGAAGCCTGTAAAGACCAGACAGGCAAATGCTGTGGATTTGATGAGTAGGGTGAGCCTCTTCTGGTACCTGCATCCAAAGAAAGGGAGGTGTCCTCAAGCCTGCTCAGATTTGGGGATGGTGTAACTAAAGAGTCAGCTTGTTCTGTTACTGCAAAGGGCAGAAGTGAGAGTGTAAATTGTGGACAATCAATGCTTCAGACACAGAAAGACAAAATAGGTTTGGAATCAAATAGACCTTGGTTTCAATCCCAGTTCTGGGGGAATCTGGAGCAATTTACTTGTATAACCCTGGAGAGTGATTCCTCATGTCAAAATGATGCTAATAACACTTACCTTACAGGATGTTTGTGAGGATTAAATGAGACACAAGACAGATGTCTTTGGGGAGAAAGTCAGTAAAGCAGGATCCAGATGGATATGAGAAAGATCCCTTTTTTTTTTTTTTTGAGATGGAGTTTTGCTCTTGTTGCCCAGGCTGGAGTGCAATGGTGCGATCTCGGCTCACCGCAACCTCAGCCTCCCAGGTTCAAGCAATTCTCCCACCTCAGCCTCCCGAGTAGCTGGGATTACAGGCATGCGCCATCACGCCTGGCGAATTTTTTTTCTATTTTTAGTAGAGACGGGGTTTCTCCATGTTGGTCAGGCTGGTCTCGAACTCCTGACCTCAGGTGATCCGCCCACCTCGGCCTCCCAAAGTGCTGGGATTACAAGCGTGAGCCACCACGCCCAACCGAGAAAGATCTTTAATGGTGGGCTGCTTGCTTATTTTGTGTGTTACTGGTTGCCAGATAAGTTCAAGCAGGGGTTGGAAGCTACCTGTAAGGAATGCTGAAGAAGGGTTTCTTGCATTTTAATAGTGGTTGCATCAAATGACTTTTAGGATCCATTTCAAGTTCTAATTGAGCAGGTGTTCTCCTGCTCTGCAGTGTCTCTTGCTCCCTACCCCGCAATAGTGATACTCTTTGGCAAAAAGTTACCAAAGGTAAGGTTAGTCATAGGAATAACTAGGCAGAAAATATCTAGACCTACAGAATAAATTAGCGTTGAAATCATAGGAATCATAAATGATCATTTGCACTAAGCCAGCCAGGAGCCGGGATAGTGAGGAGTAAGTTCTGGCTACCTGCTCATCAGGCATCCTGTCTTGCTTCTGCTGCACTATCCTGATTTTTTTGGAGTTTCCCCAAGACACCCAGAGGCCAGTGATTTCAGTATGTTTATTTAAGGGTTACACTGTCTTCAAAAAATGAAGTATCATGGTGAAGCCTAAATGTAGAGCAGATAAAAGAGCTGTAACTCTGGTTAAAGGGAGGTAGAAGGAGGCTGAAATCTCAACCATTGGTTCCTCCCTCACCCACTCTGTAACCTCTAGCTTGAATGTTACTGCTCCAGACCTGGCCCGTTTTCAGCCTTCCCTTTGAGTCTTTTGTTTTCTGGATTCTGGATGGCAGCTGTTATCACTCCAGCTGCAGAAAGGATGGGAGGCGACTTCCTGTTTTTCTATCCTGCCATCTCTGTGGGGGTGGGACATTCCCTCCCCCATCTCCTGTGGCTGGCTGTAGTTTTGGAAAAATGTGAGCCTGGCTGCAGCCGTCCTGACTAGGGCTGGAGGAATGGCTGGTAGCCACCCAGCCTCCGTTTGAAGGCATCTGGGAGCAAGGCAGGCAACAGACACTGATGGACAAGTTGTGTCCCTGACTGTGGGACAGGGAAGGGTCAGTAGTTAATTAAGAGACAGGTGAAGTAGTTGGTCCAGAAGTGATCTGAGGAAGTTAAGGGTGTTGAACGAACGGTGGGTAGGGGTGTGGGAGAACAGAAGGGCTCTGGCCCTTCTGGCATAAAAAGAGAGAAAGAGAGAGGAAAAAAAGAACAAGAAGAAACAGTTAAAGTTTTTGTCTGAGAGATTATTTGGGGATAGACTGCATTTAAAGAATGGAAGAGAATAGAAATGATACAATGATCTATTTTCTCATGCCCTATATTTTTATTGAGCCTTTTCCTTGAATTGGGTATAAGGAATATAAAGAGGTCCTATAAGCAAGATGCTTGCTCTTCAGAGTTTGGGAAGGCAGGAAAGGCATTTAACTGGACATGTATAACCACATGTTTACACATCTGTACAATCTCAATCCTTATAACAACCTTTAACATAGGTATTGTCAGCCCTATTTTAAAGAGGAGGTAACTGAGATTCGGGATGGATGTTTTAGTGACTTGCCCAAAGTTACCCAATAGCTAAGTGGCAGAGCCAGGCCAAGAACCTTGAGTCCTTTTCTCTGTCCACTGTAACACACAGCTAAGTCTTGGCAGAGGACAAGGACTTTAATTTAATTAGGCTTTGAGAGAAGGGTGGGAC
Source organism: Homo sapiens (assembly GCF_000001405.40). NCBI lineage: Eukaryota > Metazoa > Chordata > Mammalia > Primates > Hominidae > Homo > Homo sapiens. The sequence continues at coordinate 27,522,116 of NC_000012.12, forward strand.
TTAACCCACAGAGGAGTGGGGATTTCGGTTAGGCTGAAAGGTGAGAACGAAGCAGGGATCTGTGAGTAGACCTGTTTGACTACAGAGAGGGTTTCCTGGGAGCGAAGTGGGAGATAAGCTGGGAAAGGTAAGAAGCAGGATAAGAGAGAGTTTTAAATGGCTAGATAAGAATTGCAGGGAAAGGGGGACCTGATTTAGAGGGGAAGATGTTGATGACAAAACCAAACATTTTAGAAAACTCATCGGTAGTGAGTGGTACAGAGAAATAATTAGAACTGGGGGAAACTGGAGTCAGAAATTCAAGTCAGGAGTTTGGAATACTGCAGGTCTGACAAGCAACAAGATGGTAATTATATAAAGTAGGTCTGTGAGAGCAGTGGCCCAAGCCTGTGGATTTCTTGTAGCATTCTATTGTTTGAAAAAGTATAAATTATGGACACTCAATACTTGAGATATAGAAAGAAAATCAATGGCTTTGGAGTCAAATAGACCTCGGTTTCAATCCAAGTTCTAGCTGATTTGGAGAAATTTACTTACATAACTTTGCTGAGCCTTTGATTCCTTACGTTAAAATAGGGCTAGTAACACTCAATTTACAGGATGATTGAGAAGATTAAACAAGACACAATGCTGGATTCTGTGCATCCCTCTACAATTTTTGGCAGATCGGTAAATGTATGGCATGTCATCAATCAAAAAACAATGAGGCCTGGTGTGGTGGCTCACGCCTGTAATCCCAGCAGTTTGGGAGGCCGAAGAGGGTGGATCACCTGAGGTCAGGATTTCGAGACCAGTCTGGCCAATATGGCGGAAACCCCGTCTCTACTGAAAATACAAAAATCAGCCGGGTGTGGTGGTGGGCGCCTGTAGTCTCAGCTACTCGGAGGCTGAGGCAGTAGAATCACTTGAACCCAGGAGAAGGAGGTTGCAGTGAGCCAGATCATGCCACTGCACTCCAGCCTGGGTGGCAGAGTGACCTGTTTAAAAAAAGAAGAAAAAAAAGAGAAAGTTATTAATTCACTATATTTTTAGAAGATGGTGGGTTATATGCTACCTATATCTCATACAAATAAAGCTGCTTTTCACCATTCAGGTCTGCCTGTAAGCAGCATCTGCCTTGAAAGAACCATTTTCTGAGAATCTTTTTCTTCTGTCAGCCAAGGGGATTATACCGCATGATATCTGTCAAGGATAAACGTTAGTTAATTCTTAATTGAGAGCTCAGCCACTACAATTGGTTCCATTCTACAGTAATTATTCTCATGTGGTTTGTGGAACTCAATTGTGAGGTCCCTCCTTCCTCCACCCTTTTCAGTGTGTGCATTGAAACAGCAGCCTTAAGGTCTTTAAACGGGGAAATACATTTTTCTTGCTTCAGAGATTCAATTTTACTTGCCCGAGAAGCTTGTGTGGTGTGATTTTCATCGCTAAAAGCAACAGCAGCCACATGGCTGACAACACCACCACTTAACAATTCAAAGCTCGGTCACCGTTTTCAGGAGTCTCTTCCAAATCTTTCTGAAGTGCTTTTGAAGTTCTACATTCCCCGTCTAAGGGAACACCCAGCAGTCCCAGGATAAAAGGGCAGAAGGGTGAGCTGACGTTTTCCTTTATTTGCATGGCTTAAAGCTAGCCATTTTCTACACCACGCGCCGCCGGGCTTGTACATGCCCGTGTGCCTGTGACACCGAGGCAATTGTTTCTCCTTAAAAAGGGGGTTCGCGTGGGTTAGTTTCGTTTCTGATCTGGAATCTCAGTAACTACAACAAGAAAAGTTTAAAACTCGACCCGCCAGGTTCTTCCCCATCGGATTATCTCCGTTCCTTAGAGATAGCAGGAAGGGCAGCATTTTCTTCCATCCACCCACTTCCAGCCCTAGTCTGGCTCAGCGAGGAATGCATAAAATTAGTGGACTCCTCTGAGTGACGTTCCCCGGCTCCAATCAGCGGGCGCGCAGGCGCCCCCGGCCCCGCCCCACTGCTGACTCTCTTTGGCTGATTCCTGCAGGGAGGGAGGAGAGAAGGGCGGCAGTGGGAGGGGGAGGTACCTGGAACTGGGAGTGATGTCAGCTCCCAGCTCGGTGCCTGCCCGGATTCCTGACATGGTGTAGTGCAGGCAGGGTGGGGAAAGGACGGGGAAGGACTCGTGTGCTGCGAGCTGGCGGCCGGGCCGGAGTGCTGGGGCTTTGAACTCCGAGAGGAGGTGGACCAGAACTTTTGGAACTAGTGCCGGCGGCTCTCCACCCCCCAGGTAAGGGCGTTTTGCTCCACTCCCAGACGGGAGGGAAGTGGCACCGTTGTGTGGCTGCAGCTGGCTGTTGCAGCTGCTCCTCCTCTTCCCCGGGTCGATTTCCTTGTGCAACTCACTCCTGTTTCCCAATGGGAACGGGCACTTTTTGGGGGTGGTGGGGGTGGAGGGGTAGGGCTTAACTCCTGGGGCTTGGACCGAGCTTGTACGTGAAGAATACTCCAGGATTGGACGTTTAGGTCTTGTCTGTATCCTTAGACCCCCACACCCTAGGCTCCCGGTAATACCTGAGAACCCCAACCAGAGGGGCGTGTGTGTCTCTCTGTCTGTGTGTATTGAGGCATTTAAAAATGCCACAAAAAATTATGGATCATCGACTCAAAAATTATGCTCGTTGAAAAGAAAAAAAAAGTTTTGTATTTTTTTGTCTCCTTGTGGCCTATTATATATTAAAAGAATATCAATGTTAGTCTTATATATCAATGTAAAATATCCTTTTGTGTAATCCAGTCAGGATGTGAGAAATTCACTTGGGGTGTTTATTAATTATGAGCTTGCGGGAAAACTCGTCTCTTGGGGGCACACTTCTAAAACTGCAACTAGTATTCACTCATTTTAACCGAGAAATCCCTTCAGCTGCCAGCTTTATATCTGGAGAGGTTAGGATGGCTGCTGAGAATCTTCAGATCTGTTTCCTGTGGCTGCTTGAGGGGCGAGCTGGTAGTTGTGTTTTCAGGGATCTTTTTTAGAGAAGGGAGTTTTAACAGGGAAACGCGGTGGAAGGCGTGGCATATAAACTCTTAATTATAGGGACGTGAAGTTTTCAACATGTGGGACCAAAACAAATCCTTGCTTTCAGTAAGAACTGCGGAGAGCAATAGAAAAAGAACTTGATTTCAAAGTCCAAGTTTGGTATTTTGAGAAAGCAATTGCGGGAGGAAAAAGATACTTTTAAGAAGTGAAAGAATAGAATTCTGATTTTTGTTTATTTCCTATTTCAAACCCTGTCTTTTTCCTATGTGGAGATTTTGTGTGCCCAGGTCACTAACTGGGTGTGATTGACTTTCTCGAGGGGGCGGGGAAATTGACTCCATACACCGATTCAGGACCCTCTCATCAGTGCTTTAAGGCTCTCTTTTGGAGCAGGAAGGAAAAAAAAAAAAAAAAAAAAAAAGTAAGCGCTGAGACTCCTGAGTCAAGTTTCCCCTTTCCTTCACCGAAGTTCCTCCTCAGCAGTGAGGATCCTACTGTTGCCAGGTCTGGAGGAAATGGGAGTGGACTTCATTGTGAGTCAAAATCCGTATCCCAGGCCCCTGAAGGGAAAAGGCATTTCCAGGAGATGGAGAAAGAAAGAAGCCACAACAGTAGGTCTAGTAAACCCAAGTCAGGAAAAGGGATAGAGGACTATAGATGGGGTTCTCTATCTTTCTAGCCAAATGATCATTAGGTTTCAGAACTAGAAAGAAGTGTTTGGTTGTGCTGTTGTTTATGACATACCTGGGTCTGTATTGTTGTTAGTTCCTGAAAAAATTAAATAGAGTGGATAAAATAGCAGGCTTTTTGAGAAAGGAAAATTCGCTTTATTGGAAAGACAACATTTTAATTTTGGTTTGTATTTTGGCTTAAGACACAGAAATTGCAAATGGCTCTGCAATAATGGTGAACAAGTCTTTTCTATTTATGTTCTATGGGGAGTACATAAAACATACTGTATTTTCCAGTGTACTTTTTCAGTAGGATAGAGCTGTGGAGTGGAGTTCCTGTGGGCTAATGTGAACTCACGGTAGTGTTCCTTGGCTGATAGTGTTCCAACTGCATTTGTAATACCAAAAGATGGGGCTGCAAAAGCCAGACGGTTCAGTAAAGAAGAGTATCTTTAGGATGTTATCCTTATGTGCCAAATTCAGATTTACACTTTCTTTCCAAGAAACTAGTCCTAGTTTAGGGACTTGAATATACCAAAACTCTAAATTTGATTCACAGTTTGAATAATAGCAGTAATTTTACATACTTAATTTAAACCAATATTTCTCTTTCTCAGTCCATGTTTATGAGGCAGATATGGTGTAGGAAAACACGGAATACTTAAAAGATGTTTGAGTTATTGAGAAAGGTAGGATCAGTTTTTGGTTAAATTCCTGTGACCAACAACTGTCATATTTCCAAGAGCAACTTTAAAAATTAAGGTCGGCCAGGCTTGGTGGCTCACACCTGTAATCCAAGCACTTTAGGAGGCTGAGGCACGCAGATCACCTGAGGTCAGGAGTTGGAGACCAGCCTGGCTAACATGGTGAAACCCCATTTCTACTAAAAATACAAAAAAATTGCCGGGTGTGGTGGTGGGCACCTGTAATCTCAGCTACTTGGGAGGCTGAGGCAGGAGAATCGCTTGAACCCAGGAGGCGGAGGTTGCAGTGAGCTGAGATCTCGTTATTGCACTCCAGCCTGGGCGACTAGAGCAAAACTCCATCTCAAAAATAAATAAATAAAATAAAAATTAAGGTCATCTGGCCTTAATGGATAAATGTTGATTTGAAATCCAGGACACACTGAAGTTCCAGATCAATAGTGCCTAATTTCAAGGGCATCACTGACATTTTTTTGGGAACAAGTTCACCGAGGGACAGTTAATTAACTGTTTATGTAGTCTTTTTGTAGCTCCCTGTTCCACCGTGAGATAAATCAGAACAAGGTCATTTTTCCCCTCAGTTACTGACTAGCTGACTTCTTTTAAAACCTTTCCTATTCATAAAATATTTGTATAAGTAAATTTAGATTATGTTGATAATTTGTTACATTAAAATTAACTTTTCGTTTATATCCCAAACCAGCATAATTTTCAAACTGTTAACTGAAAGAAGACCTCATTCAGCACTCTGTCTTTTCTTTTTTCTTTTTTTTTTTGAGACAGGGTCTCGCTCTGCCGCCCTGGATGGAGTGCAGTGGTGCAGTCTCGGCTCACTGTAGCCTCTGCCTCCCAGGTTCAAATGATCCTCCCACCTCAGCCTTCCCTGGGACTACAGTCATGCACCAACATGCCCGGTTAATTTTTGTATTTTTAGTAGAGGCGGGTTCTCACCATGTTGCTCAGGCTGGTCTTGAACTCCTGGGCTCAAGCAGTCGACCCACCTTGACCTCCCAAAGTGCTAGGATTACATGAGTGAGCCCTGGGTGCCCAGCCTGTCTTTTCAAAGATGTTATTACGTGTCTCTGGCCTAGTTTGAATTACCTTTTCAAAACGATGAAGGAGTGAATTAATGAATGCATATTCATTCATGTTTGGGTCTGTGTCTTGATTCTTTATTAAAGAAACGTCGCTTCAAGGCGAAAACATAGGCAAGAAATGTTGCGTAATGACGTTTTTATTTTCAGAGATTTCCTTAGAAAGTCATATTAGCTCCAAAATTAAGAAAAAAAAAAATCACAGTTGAGCAGCCAGTTGTGAAATCTTTCAGGGAGCCATAATCATAACTATCATGATTATTTTGTTATTTTTAACCGTGGCCAAACAGATGGATTTAAATATGCGAGTCAAAGCTGTTAGGGTTACTGTCTCATTTTGATGCAGGGTATTCTTTGCTTTTTTGTTTGTTTGTTTGTTTTTGAGACAGAGTCGCTCTCTGTTGCCCGGGCTGGAGTGCAGTGGCGTGATCTTGCCTCGCTGCAACCTCCACTTCCCGGGTTCAAATGATTCTCATGCCTCAGGGTCCCAGTTAGCTAGGATTACAGGTGTATACCACAACGCCTGGCTAATTTTTGTATTTTTAGTAGAGACGGGGTTTCACCATGTTAGCCAGGCTGGTCTCGAACTCCTGACCTCAGGTGATCTGTCTGCCTCAGCCTCCCAAAGTGCTGGGATTATAGGAGTGAGCCACCACGCCTGGTTATGCAGGGTATTCTTTGTGAATAAAGGGAACAAAATGTCTTCTGGCCAGCATTTTCTGTTCAACCAAAGGTGGATAACTTCACAATTAAATCAGTTATCAAACTGTCCAAAAACTGCTCTGGGCTCTTGTAATTCAGTGCATCAGTAGTGTGTTATGTCAGTTATTTTTCAAATTTATTGCAGTGCACGTCAGAACCTTCTTCCTAGTAAAAAACAAAACAAAACCCTACAGCTTTTGTCATATATGTCACTGCCGCAAAAATTGATGCTGCGTTAAATGGAGCTCATAAATTTAAAACTAAACTGAATTATTCCACCCTACAAAATACATAGAATCTTTCTTTTACACCCTTCATTTTAGATATAATAATTACTGATGCTCAATTGGTGTTCAGTGATAATGTTTCCAGAAGCCAAGTGGTGAGCATTTTTTTTCCACTTCAAAAAAAAACCTAACATACCAGACAACTGGATTTTAGATAAAAGAAATATGGGTTCTTCTAGGAGTTTTAAGTTTACGCACTTTTTAGGCAGTTTGGGGGAGGAGGAGAGAGAACCTGAGGTAAATACGTACCAGTCTAAACCCACTGGAGAGTGTCTATTTCTGAAAGGTGGGTTTGGACTCTGAGTGGTCCAAGTGGATGTGTTGTCACAGTTTGTGAGTGCTCTTTGGTTATGCTTCTCCCTGGAACTTGATGGGACTCACATTTTGACTGGCCCACACACACATCCTTGTTTTTGTTGGCAAGTGTAATGAGTTCAGAATAGAAAGATCATGTAGTGGTTTTATGTACAGGGGTGCACCTAACAATGTCCATGCCTGAAGGAATTGTATAAACTCAAATTGCACTGAGTATCCGTCATTCTGGCCAAGGGTCATGTCTTAAATATGGATCATGTAGGAGGAAGATCAAGTACCACCATCACGTTTGGGGCTGGCCCTAGATTTTATGGACACCCTCTGGACTCCACAATAGGCCTGGATATTTTCACCTCTCCTTTAATTTAGGGAAATTATTCATTTGACATGAAAAGACAAGTTCAGAAGAGTAGGTATGCTCATTCTTAGTGTGTCTTTGTTAAGAGGTGAAACTCCATTTCACCTGGTGAAAGAGGTACTAAGGCTTTTTTCAGTGGCAAGTCTATTCCTAAAGAAGTGGCCAGGCTGGACGCGATGGCTCATGCCTGTAATCCCAGCACTTTGGGAGGCTGAGGTGGATGGATCACTTGGGGTCAGGAGTTCGAGACCAGCCTGGCCAACATGGCAAAACCCCGTCTCTACTAAAAATACAAAAATTGGCCGAATGTGGTGGCGCATGCCTGTAGTCCCAGCTACTCAGGAGGCTGAGGCAGGAGAATTGCTTGAAGCCGGGAGGCGGAGGTTACAGTGAGCTGAGATCACGCCACTGCACTCCAGCCTGGGCAACAGAGCAAGACTCTGTCTAAAATAATAATAATAGTAAGTTGCCAAATTTTAATTTTTCCTTTTAGCAATAATAGCTGAACTCTTAAGAAGTGGCCAGATTCTTCAGGCCAGCAAGGTAGTTTTGGGGAAGAACTAGGTAGGCCCATTGGGAAGAGTGTGGACTCTTTTATGGTATGCAGTAATACTGTACCATATCACTAAATGTACCTGTGTTTTCTTGTATTTCCGTGCCTAGGATCAAGCTCACTGATGTCCTTTTGCTGGCACTTTGTTATCCTTCTCTTCATCCATAGTACTCTACACAAATATTATCTTACTACCACAGAATTGCAAAAGTTTTTCATGAGGAAAGTTTATTGTATTTACTTTATTTAGAAAAAATGAAAACAAGGTTGAAACTCTGTGGTCTACTTTTTTCATCTAGTGACTTGACAGGGCGGCTGCTATTGCATAAAGAATGCCTTTGCAACCGTTATCTTTTTCTAAAGATGCTGCCTCTTATAACAACACAGTATAGAATTTTCTTTTGTTTGCATTGGAATTTGAATACATCTACTTTTTCTTGTGAATGATGGAAGAGTCGAATGAACCTGTGGGTTCTCGAAATTAACTCTGGGAAGTGAGAGGGTGGAAGGGAAACAGTGACGACTCACAGGAGACACACTGGTTGAACCTGTGATCTTGCCAGGGCCATTTGTGTGAAGTCACCTGAATCTCGGTGTTTTTCCTCTGGATCAGCTGCCTGGATGGTTTTGTCAAACTTTCAGATCCTTCCATCCTCCACCCCCATCAATGTGTGACTTTGCATAACTGAGAAAGCTACTAAACACAGAATTAAGTTTCTTTTATTGTTTTTCTCTACTAAGGGAATTTGATTCTCTAGGATGACTTGCACTTCATGTGGGAAAGACACAGCTGGATGCCCAACTGATATCCATTCCCCCCTCCTTTTCTGTAACTGAACCCATTTTGTTTAATTCACCACTATGTCCAGTTAAGTGCTAGATTTCCCAGAATCCCTTGCAGCTGGGAGGTGGTTCAGTGACAGTAGTCCTGGCTGATGAGATGTAAATAGCTGGATGCCCCGTTCCCCAAAGCTCTTAAAAGGGGAAGCCTCTGTGAGCTTGCCTGTTAAGCCTTTTGCTCTTTGTACTTCTTCCCTGGAGAAAGTAAGCAGGCCATCGCGTGACCAAAGACAAGATGCTTGAGGGTTAAGGATGAGTGGGTGGAAGGTTAGAAGGAGGCTGAGAAGCTGATAGCATTCTGCAACTGCTCTACTGGACCCATTTCTTGACTCTGTGAGAAAAATAAAATCTCTACTTGGTTAAACCACAGAACTTGGGTCAGTTACTTGCAGCCAAATGTGATCTTAACTGAGTCTAGATGTCTAAAAATCATAGTTCATCTTTTCTTTAAAAATAAAAACGTGTTATTTTGTACGAGAAAAACAGGACTTTGGAGCCATGCAGATCCTCAACTTGAATCCTGGCTTTGCTATTTATTACAGTCTAATATTGGCAAGTAACTTAACCTCTCTGGGTCTCAGCTTTCTCATCTATAAAATGGTAGCTCTGATATATGTGCCATAGCATTTTTTGAAGGATTAGAAATAATTAGAAATTATTATTATTTTTTTTTGAGACAGTCTCGTGCTGTCACCCAGGCTGGAGTGCAGTGTTGCAATCTCGGCTCACTGCAACCTCCACCTCCTGGGTTCAAGCGATTCTCCAGCCTCAGCCTCCCAGGGAGCTGGGATTGCAGGTCCCCACCAGCATGAGCAGCTAATTTTTTTTTTTTTTTGTATTTTTAGTAGAGACAGGGTTTCACCATCGTGGCCAGGCTGGTCTCAAACTCCTGATCTCAGATGATCTGCTGGCCTCAGCCTCCCAAAGTGCTGGGATTACAGGCATGAGCCACCACGTCCGGCCAGAAATTATTAATAGGAATAATAATGGCATATTCAGCACATGGAAGATCTTCAACAAATGGTGGCACTGTTACCAAAGGGAAGTGTAGTGGGGAGTCTGAAAGGGGGAGGCAAAGAATTCAGCTCTTTCTCCTAGAAGGTTCTCGGTAGGTTTATAGCTACAATCCCTTGACTCCATCTACTTGGCATTTATTCCGCCTCCTGTCTCTTATCCTCATTCCCACCTGCCCACACCAGACTACTTGGAACTCTTCTGTTTTCCAGCTTTGGTTTATAAGGATGTCCTTATAAAAATTTTATTAACTATAGCATAGGGATGAAGGGCGGGGACTCCAGAGTCAGACAGATGTGGATTAGAATCCCCTGTTGTTACTAGCTGTGTGATTTTGGTTAAGTCTTCTGTGAAATGGGAATAATTGGGTGGTTATGAAGATTACATCTGATAATGTATGTGAAGCACTAACAGCTGGTTTCTTGGCACACGACATGCACTGCTTTGATGACAGATATTGTTGTTACTATTTCATTAAGCACGTGTTAAGCAATTCCCAGCCTTGGTACAAGATCCTCTTGGAGACGGAAAGACAAACAAAACATGATCTTTACCTTAAGAGTATTCACATACAGGAGATGGGGGCAGAAAGAGATGGCACACCTTATTCATAACTGTAATAAAATGCAGATTTAGAATACTGTTTAGCTGTTAAAAAGATTGAATATACTGACTTGTACAGATGTCTATTATATATATTTTAAGAAGTAAAAAACCAAGCACACGTGTATGGTTTACATTTGTCAGTGCATGAAAAACTGCCAAGTGGGATGGCTTATGGGAGTTGGGATGAAGGGAACTTTGTATTTTTTTTTTTTTTTACAGTATATTACATCTATATTACATTACTCGAGAAATACAAAATATGTTAAAATTTTAAACATCTATTTATTGGTCCTTTTGGAGGTTGGTTGGGGAAGAGCATTCTGTGAACTAGACTAGTCACCAGAGCAAAGGAAGAGACTGGGTTTCTTGAGGTTTCATTAGAAGAGGTGGGATTTGACTGGGTCTTAAAGGGTGGGGAGGAGATTTTGAGGAGGCAGTGGGGACAGATGAGCATACTTGGGTTTGGAGCAAAATGTAGAATAGAGTGAGATTCGATTTAGAGAAAAGAGAGAACAATATTGTTTGAAAAGACGTAAGCTATATTGGGGCAAATCTTACAGGGTTTTAAAGAGAGTGACAAGATTGTACCTTAAAACAGGATGTTTTTAAGAAAAGAAGAAGTAAGGGAACTATTGTTTTATAAAAATGACTCTGGAAATAGCAGATTGGGTATTTCTAGTGGGTATATGGGCAAGGGGAGGGAGAAGGACAGAACACCCTAAATCAAGAATGGCCCGTATACAAAAGTTAATTTTCTTTTAAAGATGATGTCTTGCTATGTTGCCCAGGCTGGAGAGCAGTGGCTATTCACAGTTGTGATCATTGTGCACTCATGGGCTCAAGCAATCCTTCTGACTCAGCCTCCCGAGTAGCTGGAACTACAGGGACATGCCTCCATGCCTGGCTAAGTGAAAGTTGAATTTTAATGGGAAATATGAGTTAAGATTTGAACATCTGGAGTTTGAAATTCCATCATGACCCACATTATCCTTAATTTTCTCATTGTATAAATGGATAAAATAATAATACCTATCTTATCAGGTTTTTAGGAGAATAACAATAATAATAGGTAACACTTACCTGGTAGGTTATACTTTTTATGTACCAAGCACTACTCTAAGCACCTTAAATATTTCAACCTAGATTAATCCCATATTACGATGAGGAATCTGAGGCACAAGGAGGCTAAGTAACTTTCCCAGGATCACACAGATCATGTGTGTCAGACTCAGAATTTGAACTCAGGCAGGTGCAGCTCCAGGGCCAGTATCTTCAGCCTCTTCATAGTCCTACCTCTGGCATGGTTCTGTACTTGGGGTGTTAAAAGCCAGTATGAACTGTTAGTTGACATTATTCATATGAAGATGTTAAGCAAGAATTTAGAAATTTAGGCTTGGAGTTTAGGCCAAAGCCTGGACTAATGGATCATCTCTATAGGGCTGTTATGTAAAGAGTGAGAATGGTTGAGCTCCCCGAACAAGAGTATGTAGAGTAAAAAGAGAAGCAAGCATACAGTCTTCAGGGGACTCCTGATATTTAGAAATGGTCAGGCAAAAAAGAAGTTAGGAGAGGAGATAGAGCAGGATCTGCAGAGAAGTGGAGGATGATGGTGGCCAAGGGAAGAAGCACAACGTAAGTGAACTAATCATGCCATCCAGTGCAACAGACTCGTTACAAAGCTGTATCCAACAGACTGTCCCTGGTCCTGCTGTCAGGTCAGTTCATGAACCTGGAATCCAGAATGCAAAAAATTGAGGACTACACGGGGGCTGATGAACTGCAGGTGGCCTGGTTAGTTCATCCTTTCAAGGAACTGATCCGAGAGAGACATGGTAGATAGCTTGGGTTTGAGGAAGGCTCAGGTAGAGAGGAGGATATTAAAAGAAGAAAAAGGGAGGAAGGAATGAGTGCATGGTCCAGGGTAGAGAGATGGGGCTAGACCCAAAATCAAGTGGAGGGCAGTGGGTTAGCCTCGAAATCCATAAGAACCCTTCTTCTGATGCGATGGAAGAGAGGATAGGGGAAATGGAAAAAAAAAAGATGTGATCAGAAGGGATACGAATTGAGTAAGTTCACTGCAGGCGGTCTGCATTGATTTATCAGTAGAGTAAGAAGCAGTGAAAGGAAATTCACAGACAAGTAACTCAGGCTCCTGAGAGGATGGCTCTGGGGATTATTGTCATGGAGGAAAAATTTGAAAGAATGACAGAAGTCTCTCATCTGAACAATACAAACTGACACATTTGCCAGAATGTGTCTCGAGGCAGGAAGTTGGTTTATTGAAGTGGAAAGTAGTGGTTATAAAAAAAAAAAAGAGAATGAAATTAGACAAAGGGAAACTTGACTGTCTTTGAAGGAGGAATTTTTAGACAACCAGACTTGATGGTTCACAGGCCAACTTCTTGGGGGAAACCTGAGCTCTGAGTGGTGAGAGACAACTGGTTTTGGAGCCCACAGCTAGGGTTTGGTTAAAACAGATACATCAAAGCACCAGGAAATACTCTGTAGAAAGGAGTTGTCCAACAGAGACAGCACTGGATTAAATTCTCCTCCTGATAAGGTGGTCTCTGATCTTCAGTTTACTTATTTCTAGAAAGATCTTTAGTTGAAAAGACATAGGCTTGTGGCATTTCAGCAGATTTGTTGTGGTAATGACATTAGGGGTATGTGAGAAAAGGATTGAAGAATGCAATGATTAAGAATGTGGTACTGAAAACCACTACCCCATCAGTCCATTGGTGGGTCTTATGGTGGTTGCTTTGAAAGATGTCAGTAAAGGCTTGTTCAAGTGTGTACAGTATAAATTGATAGGCATAATATTCTTGAGTTCAATGGTTTTCAGCTGGGCCAACTATAGAATCCGTGGAGCCTGTTGCAAAATGAAAATGTGTGACCCCTTATTCAAAAGGCAAGAAAAAAGTGCTGTTAAAGGTACTAAAATATGAAGCTTCTTTCCTTTCTCATACAGTTTTTTTCTCTTGACTTGTCATAGTATTGGCTACTTGTCATTCTATGTGAAGAAAAATTAAAAATTAAAATTACAGCATGAATTCAATTTAAAAATTAAAAAACTAAGCAGTGAAGTTTTTAGCATGAATTTACTCTTCATCTTTTTATTATACAATGTTGTTTTTGTTGTTGTTGTTGTTTGTTTTGTTTTGTTTTGTTTTTTGAGACAGGATCTCACTCTGTCACCCAAGCTACAGCGAGGTGGTGTGGTCACGGCTCATTGCAGCTTCTACTTTCTGGGCTCAGGTGATCCTCCCCCTCAGCTTCCCAAGTAGCTGGAACTACAGATGCGTGCCTGGCAATTTTTTTTTGTAGAGACAGGATCTCACCATGTTGCTCAGGCTGGTCTTGAAATCCTGGACTCGAGCAATCCTCTTGCCTTGGCTTCCCAAGATGCTGGTATTGCAGGCGTGAGCCACTGCGCCCAGTGCAATGCTGGCTTTAAATGAAAATATAGAGCATTGAACTCATATGCAGAATTACTGAAGTTGTCGACGCATATGTATATTGTTATGAGAACAGTAGAAACACTGCACAAAACTAAACTACTTTTATTTCACTTCTTGACATGTGCACATTCTACTGACACCTACCTACCTTTGGCTTATGATGTGTAATGAAAGACTGAAAGGAGAAGCAACTATGAGTTGCCTTATCTTTCCTTTTCCTTTTGTGCCGTCATTTTCAGCATAAGTGGTTGGCTAATATGGTTAAGTAACATGAGAAAGAGATAAAACGCTAAGCCTCCTTGGTCATTTGTGTTTCTTAGAAAGACATTTCTGTATGCAATCAAGTTCTGGTTCAAATGGAAGTCATTGCCTCTTTGGGCAGTCAGCACCCACCTGCCTGCTTACTCAGTTGTATTGGTAACACACTTACCTTGCACTCGCTTGAAGTCTTGCTGAACTCCCACGCACCAGGAGTTCACGGGAATTCTGAGCTCATGGTGCATTGGGAAAACTGTGTGAATAGAGAGGCCAGGAATGGTGGCTGTACATATTACGTCGTATGTTAGGCTGTTTTGCATTGCTATATAGGAAAACTAGGACTGGATAATTTATGAAGAAAAAAGGTTTATTTGGCTCACGGTTCTGCAGGCTGTACGTGAAGCATAGTGCCAGCATCTGCTTCTGGCGAGGCCCCCAGGAAGCTTCCGATCATGGCAGAAGGCAAGGGGAACCAGCTTGTCACACGGTGAGATAGGGAGCAAGAGAGACAGAAGGGAGAGGCCCCAGACTCTTAAACAACCAGATCTCCCATGAACGAATTGAGCAAGATTCACCAAGGGGAATGGCGCTAAACCATTCATGAGGGATCCGCCCCCACGATCCAGTCACCTCCCACCAGGCCCCACCCCCAACAGTGGGAATCTCATTTCAACATGCGATTTGGAGGGGCCAAACATCCAAATCATATCACATCGTTCTCCTCTGCTCACTTGTGGGCTCCATTGTCCCATTGGACCTGACTTACAAAACGCAAATTCAAAATTATTATCATTCTCAAGATGGTGACAGTAGAGTATTAAACCAACTGTGGGTCTTTTCTGAGCATGGGGTCCTGTGTTACTGCCCAGGTCACAGGTCCATGAAGATGTCTCAGAAGTCAAAGAGCTCACTTTTGAGGCTAAGTTTCCCTTGGTCCTAACGTCTCAGCTTCATTATTAAAGTTTGCAATGTAACAGGTTTGTGGGTGGTAGCCTAGGGGACTCTCTTCTGGTCATCAGCAAGGTCATTTTTGCCTTTCAATAATTTTTTAATCACTCTTCATTCCCCCTACCAGTATATCTGGGTTCGCATCCTCCTTCTCTCTGATACAGACCTTGCCGTTGTCTCCTACTGGAGCCCTGCAGGTAGTCCCTTCTCTCTCTCTTTTTTTTTTGAGACGGAGTCTCTCACGGTCACCTAGGCTGGAGTGCAATGGTGTGATCTCAGCTCACTACAACCTCTGCCTCCCTGGTTCAAGTGATTCTCCTGCCTCAGCCTCCTGAGTAGCTGGGATTACAGATGCCTGCCACCACGTCCAGCTAATTTTTTGTGTTTTTAGTAGAGATGGGGTTTCACTATGTTGGCCAGGCTGGTCTCAAACTCCTGACCTCGTGATCCGCCGGCCTCGGCCTCCCAAAGTGCTGGGATTACAGACGTGAGCCACCGCGCCCGGCCCCCCGTTTCCTTATTCTGCACCTTACTGCCAGACAAATTTTCCAAGTAAGTTTGGTTCCAGGCCACCCTGCCTACTCCAAAGCTTTCTTTGACCTCCTGTGAGCCATGGCTTACAGCAGAGTTCTCATCCTGTGTTCCCGGGGTGGAGACTGCATGGAGACAGGGTTGGTTTGGCCTGCGTGTTATTAATAAAGAAGTTTCAGCCAACACTTGCTTTGGGAGGGTTTACTTACTGAAATTCACCTATTGAAATTCAGATTTTAAAAAGAGGTCTGGCCACTGTGGGCTCTTGTTTCCTTGTCCTGCGCTGGTGCCTTAAAGAACAAGATGGACTGGGCATGGGGAGAAAGATGCCCAGTCCATCTTGTTCTTGGGTTTACTCTTAAGGCAGAGTGATTCTTTGCTGTGGCAAAATCTTCACTTTTAGCTATGTAAATGGAAAGCAGGTATCTGGCTATTCTTAAGAATGGTGTGAAGCAACCTGAATGTTGATCTTTTAGTCTGAGAAATTAAATTCCCCGTTCATAACGGAAATTGGGTGTATGCTTTGTAGCAGCCTTTGGTTGCTTTTTTTAGGAGAAATATTTCTTAAGTCTCGCCTGGCTATTATTACCACTGTATCATCTTGTGACCTCATCTGATCTTGACCTTTCTCCAAGCTTGCCTTTCCCTGCTCTTCTGTGCAGAGGACTCCGGCTCCAATCCCTGGATGGCTTTAAGTCCAGCAAACCTTTCTGTTTTTCCTATCGCTCTTCTCTTTGCTTAACCTCTCCTCTTTCCTCCAGACCCACTTAAAAGCAGTTCATCAGGAAAACTTAGCTGACAGTCTCAGTCAGAACTCACTCGTGCAGGAACTTTGCAGGAAGCAGGTAATCAAATTTTGGGGTTTTAACTGCTCAAGTACCAATTCGGTGGTGAGTTAAGGTTGTCTTTGAAGGTTCCTTCCAGCCCAGTGATTTTGAGATCTGGCATCTACTTGTTATTTGAAATTGTACTTTGTGATAGGAACTTTACTTGCAGTATCTCAGTTAATTATGACGTAGCACTAGCATTACCTCCATTTTACAGATGAGGAAACTGAGAATTTTTTCCAACACTGACTCTCAAAATGGCTCTTTTCTGGATTTGTCTTATTTCTTCAAATAGATTATGGACTAGTTGAAGACCATGACTGCCTTTGTTGACAATGCTTGCTACCTGGTAGGAACTCAGTAAATATGTGATGAGATGATTGGTTCATTCAACCAATATGCATTAGGCCTATACCAGGCTCCATGGAGATGCAAAGATGCCCCAGCTAGAAAATGCAGTATTAGTTATACTCTAAGCTTGGCCTCCTACCTGGGCACGAAAGTAGTATGGAATGGTGGATCTTGGGCTCTGGAGTTAGATGGACCTCATTTGTCAAATAGGGGCAGTAATACTGTATACTTTTGTAGCAGTAGTTTTCAATTGCAGTGATTTTGACCTGTAGCAGTCATTTGGCAATGTCAAGAGACATTTTTTGTGTCACAACCTGGGGGTGGGGGTGCTGCTGGCATTTGGTGGGTACGTTCCAGGGATGTGGCTAACCATCCTACAATGCACAGGACAGCCCCCCACCAATGAAGAATTATCCTGCCTCTAAGTATCAGTAGTGCTGAGGTTGAGAAATGCTGCTTTAAAGAGTTGTGAAGATGAAACAAGATAATGACTGCAAAGAGTTTGGTGTAGTTAGCTGTTACTCCAAGAAAGCCATCCCAAAGACTGCAAAATCATACTTTGAAAGGCAAACACCAAAAGGCTTAATTTCATCAGCATCAGTGATTCTTGCCAGTGAGAAGCCTTATGCTAAGGATTTCATGCTGTCCTGTTTAGGAGTGGTGACAGACTCACTGGAGATTGTTTATGTTACACTGTGTACTACCATGAGCTGGCGTGGGTTTATCAGAGCTGTAAAAGCCATTATTAGTTTTTAGGATATTCCTGGTAAACTTCCTGCTTGCTTTACTAGTTTGTTCTGTGGAGATAATTTTGGTGTGCGGGTTTAAATCTTCTGATGGAAAATGTTTTGACTATCAAATTCCCAAAACCTGTTTTGATACGTGAGACATGAAACGTTTTGGTTTTCACATCAAGAAGCCCTATGTTTTTCTAGCCTTGGATTTTAAACAAAGCAGCTTTCCCCACTGTTTACTGCCTTACCTGCCTATCTGTGGGAGTAGAAGGGTGGAGAGCTAGCTGCTGGATTTCCATCTATTGTTTATTGTGGATTTATATTTGAAATTGTTACACTTTTTTTGTAATTATAAAGGTAATATATGTATCTTATAGAAAATTTGAGTAACATAGAAAAAATAGAGAAGACACAGTTAAAAAAAAGGCATCAGTAATACTTTCACATGAAGGTATAATTAGCTTTGGTGTGTTGGTGTGTTTTCTTCTTTTTCTATTCCTATATTTTTTCCATAGATGAAATATTCTGCGTATGTAATTTTGTGTCCCACTATTTTTAAAACTTCACATTGTTTTATTTTCATTTCCTTACACTACTAAAATGTCTGTAAATATTTCTAAGGACTGTAAAACATTCCATCTGTGGGTGTTTCATTATTTAATCCCATTGTAAAAATATAAAATATAGCCTATTTTCAATTTTTTTTTTTTTTTAGAGACAGGGTCTTCCTCTGTCACCCAGGCTGGAGTGATGTGATTATAGCTTACTGCAGCCTCAAAATGCTAGGCCCAAGTGATCCTCCTGCCTCAGCCTCCCATGTAGTAGGATTATAGGCATGTGCCACCATGTCTGGCTAATTTTTTTTTTTTTGTAGAGACTCTGTCTCAAAATATCAGTAGTACTGAGGTTGAGAAACGCTGCCTTGAAGGGTTGTAAAGATGAAACAAGATAATGAATGCAAAGAGTTTGGCGTAGTTAGCTGGTACCCCGAGAAAGCCATCCCAAAGACTGCAAAATCATCCTTTGAAAGGCAAACACCAAAAGTCTTAATTTCATCAGCATCAGTGATTCTTGCCAGTGACCCTGTCTCTACAAAAAAAAAAAAAAGTGATCTTCAGCCTCACAAAGTGTTGGGATTACAGGCATGGGCTATTGCACCCAGCCTATTTTCAATTTTGACGAGCATTTGTGCATTCAGTATTTTCTGTATTTCAGATCATTCCTGTCTATACAATAGATGATCACATGTGGAACAAAAGGATTGGATATGTGTGGATATTTTGATTAGTATTGTTGTCAGCTGCCCCAAAGCTTCTACTAATTTTTGCTCCTGTTAGCACAGTGATGTTCTCATATTAGTAGCATTTGATAATTTTCTAGGAGAAAATAAATTTTGTTTTTCTTTTTAATGTATTTGATATTATTGAGCTAAATCATGTTCATATGACTATTGGCTGTTTCTTAACAAACTGTTCATGTTCTCTGCCCATTTATTGGGAATTAGTATTTTTCTCATTTGTCATAAACTCTAGTTCGTGTATTTCACTTATGAATCCTCTATCATAGTTGCTGCAAATATTTTCACCTGCTGTTTCTAATTTTTAAATTCGGTTTGTCTTTTATTTTTGTTAGTGATATGGAGGTTTAAAATATTTATGCAGGCTAATCTATTGATTGTCTTTTGCACTTGCGGTTCTCCAACTTTCCTCTGTCTATACTAAAATGAACCCTTACTGCTCTGGAAGTCTCTATTCTGAATAATCAGTGTTTAAAATTATATCCCAAAGTAGGGTATCACAGGGTTTCCTGATGAGGATAAATGGGCCTGAAGTGCTTATGGGCACCCACTATGTATCATGGGAAAACTTGCACGTGTGTGTGTGTGTGAGAGAGAGAGAAAAAAAAAAATAGAGAAAGTTGGTGAGAAAAGGGGAGGCTGTTTTTGGGCCGAGGGTTGTTTGTTTGGCTTTTTCATTTCTTTTCCCTTGATAGAAGTGAGCTTACTGAAGGCAGCGGGGCTTCCATAGATTCCTGAAACATCTGAGTGACTGAAACCAGCGGCTTGCTGAGCGAGCTGTGACTACACCTGGCAAGGGGTGTGTTAGGCATGTGTTGAGTCTGTGAGAAGGCAGGCGGAGCAGAGACTCAGGCCACATCCCATCCAGTTCTCACCCCTTAAGTTTTGCTCTTTGAGGCTGCAGGCTGTTGCTCAGCCTCACCCAGGTTGAGTCCTGTGGGAGGACTCATAGGAGCCCACAGCCCTATTGCAGCTCACCAGCTGCACTAACTGTAGCTTGAAGACGAAGGTAACAACTAGCACTTACCTGGCACTTAGCTGTTTTGCAAAACCCTTTCACTAGGGCTTTTATAGATGCTTCTCACCTCAACCTTATGAGCTTAAATACTGTTTCCATCTCCATTAATTTGGAGGAAACCACCACTCAATAGATGCATCATTAAAATCCAGAGCTTCCGACTCCAGGGCTGACCTGCTCTACTTCAGAAAGAATTCCATCATTGTGTTTTCTGGTCGTAGTTTCTTGGTGGTACTATTAGGCAGAGGGTGGCACCAACTGTTTTAGGTTTTGGAGTCAGACATATCTTGACTGGAATCCCTACATAGCCCTATCTTGGCACTGTGACTTTGTTACTTACCCATCCTGAACCCTGGTTTTCTCATCTGTGAAATGGAAATAACAATGTGTACCTTGTAGGAATATGGTAGACCCTCTGGATCTGAGGGTTCCACATCTGGGGATTCAACCAATAGCAGATGGAAAATATTTGAAAAAACAAAATAACCATACAACAATAAAAATACAAATAAAAAATACAATGCAACAACTATTTACATAGCATTTACGTTGTATTAGGTCTTAAGTAATCCAGAGATGATTTAAAGTATATGAGAGAATGGGAAGATGTGTGTAGGTTATATGTGAATATGTAAGGAACTTTAGCATCTGCGGATTTGGGTATGTGTGTGGGTATCCTGGAAACCAATTCCCCATGGATACTGAGGGACAACTGTATTAAAAAGATTAAGTTGAGATTGGTGCAAAAGTAATTGCGGTTTTTGCCATTACTTGCAATGCCAAAACAGCAATTAATTTTGCGCCCACCTAGTATATGCAAGATGCCTAGTGCAGCACCACTGTGCTCATTCATTGTAGAAGCTCAGTAATGATTGTTTCTGAATCTCAAAGCTGAAAATGCTGCTGTTCTTTTTTTGTTTGTTTAAAAGTTTTAGAATTGCTGGTAGATCTGCACAGACGGGAAATTCTAGTGAATATCACTATATTTAGATGCTAGAAACACTTCTTTATCTGATCTATTTATTTTTCTGTTGAGTAGACTTTCTTTTCTGTT